>NC_000001.11:54553835-54705350 GCF_000001405.40 Homo sapiens
GGTCATGTAGTATTTGTCTTTCTGTGCCTGGCCCTTATTTCACTTAATATAACATACTCTGGGGGAGGTGGCTCGTGCCCATAATCCCAGTACTTCGGGAGGCTGAGATGGGCGGATCGCTTGAGCTCAGGACTTCGAGGCCAGCCTGGGCAACATGGCAAAACCCGATCTCTACAAAAACCACAAAAATTGCCAGGTGTGGTAGCACGCGCCTCTAGTCCCAGCTAGTTGGGAGGCTGAGGTGGGAGGATGGCTTGAGCCTGGGAGGTGAAGGTTGCTGTGAGCTGAAGTTATTGCATTTCAGCCTGGGCAACAGAGCCAGACCCTGTCACACACAAAAACAAAAACAAAAGAAAACAAAAAAAAAAACTCCACCATAACATACTCCAGGTTCATCCATGTAGTTGCAAATGGCAGGATTTTATTTTATTTTTATGGCTGAATAGTATTCCATAGTGTGTGTGTGTGTGTGTGTGTGTGTGTGTGTGTGTGTGTGTGTATATATATATATATATATTTTTTTTTTTTTTTTTTGAGATGGAGTCCTGCTTTGTCACCCAGGCTGGAATACAGTGGTGCAATTATGGCTTACTGCAGCCTCGAGCTCCTGGGCTCAAGCAAGCCTCCTGCCTCAGCCACCTGAGTAGCTGGGAATTAGAGGTATGCACCACTGTGCCCAGCTAATTTTTTTTTTAAGTTTTTGTAGAGATGGGTTCTCTCTATGTTGACCAGGCTGGTCTTGAACTCCTGGCCTCAAACTATCCTCTCCCCTTGGCTGTTGGGATTGCAGGTTTGAGCCACCACACCCAGCTTTATACCACATTAAAAAAATCCATTCATCCACTGGTGGACACTTAGTTGGTTCCATGTCTTGGCTATTGTGAAGAGTGCTGCAATAAACACGGGAGTAGAGGTATCTCTTCAATATACTGATTTCATTTCCTTTGGCTATATACCCAGTAGTGGGACTGCTGGATCATATGGTAATTCTATTTTTAATTTTTTGAGGAACCTCCATACTGTTTTCCATAATGGCTGTACCAATTTACATTCCCATGAACAGTGTCAAAAGGTTGCCTTTTCCCCAAATCCTTGCCAACACATATTGTCTTCTGGTTTTGTTTGTTTGTTTGTTTGTTTTGAGACGGAGTCTCACTCTGTCGCCCAGGCTGGAGTGTAGTGGCACGACCTTGGCTCACTGCAACCTCCGCCTCCCGGGTTCAAGTGATTCTCCTGCCTCAGCCTCCCAAATAGCTGGGATTACAGACATTGCGACACCATGCCTGGCTAATTTTTTGTATTTTCAGTAAAGATGGGGTTTCACCATGTTGGTCAGCCTGGTCTCGAACTCATAACCTCATGATCCACCTGCCTTGGCCTCCCAAAGTGCTGGGATTACAGGCGTGAGCCACCACGTCTGGCTCTGGTTTTTTGATAGTAGCTATTCTGACAGGTATGAGATGCTATTTCATTGTGGTTTTGATTTGCATTTCCATGATGATTAGTGATGTTGAGCATTTTTTTCATATACCTGGTGGACATTTGTATAGCTTCCTTTGAGAAATGCCTATTCAGGTCTTTTGCCCATTTTAATTTTTTTTTCTATTGAGTTGTTTTACTTCTTTGTATATTTTGGATGTTAACCCCTTGTCAGATATATAGTTTGTAAATATTTTCTCCCATTCTGTAGGTTGTCTCTTAACTCTGTTGATTGGTTCCTTTGCTGTGCAGAAGTGTTTTGGTATAAAGAAATCACATCTATTTTTGCTTTTGTTGCCTGTGCTTTTGAGACCCTATCCAAAAAATTCTTACCTAGCACAACGTCATGAAGTGTTTCCCTTATGTTTTCTTCTAGTAATTTTGTAGTTTGGGGGTCGTACATTTAAGTCTTTAACTCATTTTTATTTTTTATTTTTTATTTTTTTTTGAGATGGAGTCTCACTCTGTCGCCTAGGTTGGAGTGCAGTGGCATGATCTCGGCTCACTGCAACCTCCGCCTCCCAGGTTCAAGTGATTCTCCTGCTGCCTCAGCCTCCCAAGTAGCTGGGATGACAGGCACATGCCACCACGCCTAACTAACTTTTGTATTTTTAGTTGAGATGGGATTTCACCATGTTGGCCAGCTTAGTCTCGAACTCCTGACCTCAGGTGATCCACCCGCCTCAGTCTCCCAAAGTGCTGAGATTACAGGTGTGAGCCACTGCACCTGGCCTGATTTTTTTATACAGTGAGAGATAAGGGATTGATTTCATTTTTCTACATGTGGGTTTCCAGTTTTCCCAACATCAATTGTTGAATAGACTGTCCCTTCCCCAATGTGTGTTCTGGCACCTTTGTTGAAAATCAGTTGGCTGTAAATGTGTAGATTTATTTTGGAGCTCTCTATTCTGTTCCATTGGTCTATATGTCTGTCTGTTTTTATACCACTACCATACTGTTTTGGTTAATGTAGCTTTGTAGTATATTTCGAAATCAGGTAGTACAGTATGATGCCTTTGGCTCTGTTCTTTTTGCTCAAGATTGCTTTGGCTATTTGGGGTCTTTTGTGGTTCCATATGAATTTTAGGCTTGTTTTTTCTGTTTCTGTGAAGAATGTCATTGGCACTTTGATAGGGATTGCATTGAATCTGTAGATCACTTTGAGTAGTATGGACATTGTCACCATAATTCTTCTGATCCATGAACATGGGATCTTTTCATTTATATCTTCTTCAATTTCTTTCATTAATGATTTATAGTTTTCATTGTAGAGTTTTTTTTTTTTGAGACAGAGTCTCACTGTGTAGCCCAGGCTGGAGTGCAGTGGCATGATCTTGGCTCACTGCAACCTCTGCCTCCTGGGTTCAAGTGATTCTTCTCCCTCAGTCCCCCGAGTAGCTGGGATTACAGGTGTGTGCCACCATGCCTGGCTAATTTTTGTATTTTTAGTAGAGACAGGGCTTCACCATTGTTGGCAAGGCTCGTCTCGAACTCCTGACCTTGGGTGATCCGCCCACCTTGGCCTCCCAAAATGCTGGGATTACAGACGTGAGCCATCGCATCTGGTCTTCACTGTAGAGATCTTTCATCTCCTTTATTTATTTTTTAAGAGACAGTGTTTCCCTCTGTTGCCCAGGTTGGAGCGCAGTGGTCTGATCATAGCTCACTGTGGCTATGAATTCCTGGGCTCAAATGATACTCCTGCCTCAGCCTCCCAAGTAGCTGAGACTACAGGCATGTGCCACCACACCTGGCAGATTTTTTATTTAAAAAAATTAAAAAAAATTTTTATACTTAGGCCAGGCATGGTGGCTCACGCTTGTAATCCCAGCACTTTGGGAGGCCAAGGCAGGCAGATCACAAGGTCAGGAGTTCGAGACCAGCCTGGTCAACATGGTGAAATCCCATCTCTACTAAAAATACAAAAATTAGTCAGGTATGGTGGTGCGCACCTGTAATCCCAGCTACTGAGGAGGCTGAGGCAGGAGAATTGCTTGAACCCGGGAGGCGGAGGTTGCAGTGAGCCGAGATCATGCCACTGCACTCCAGCCTGAGTGACAGAGAAAGATTCCATCTCAAAAAAAAAAAAAAAAAAGAAAAAAATTAAATTATTTATCTACCCTTGTGTGCACTGAAAAAAACATTTTAAGAGATAGAGTCTTGCTATGTTGCCCAGGCTGGTTTCAAACTATTGGGCTCAAGCAATCCTCCCACCTCAGCCTCCTGAGTAGCTGGAATTACAGGCATGAGCCACCACTCCTGGTTTTTACCTCCTTGGTTAAATTTATTCTCAGGTATTTTATTTTATTTTATTTTTCGTAGCTATTGTCAATGGGATTGTTTTCCAGATTTCTTTTTTAGATAGTTTGCTATTAGTATATAGAAAGACTACTGACTTTTGTATGTTGATTTTGTATCCTGCAACTTTACTGAATTTATTATTCCTACCAGTTTTTTAGTGGAGGCTTTAGGGTTTTCTATATATAGGATTATGACATCTGCAAACAGGGACAATTTAACTTCCTTCTTTCCAATTTGGATGCCTTTTATTTCTCTCTCTTGCCTAATTGCTCTGGCTAGGACTTCCGGTATTACGTTGGATATAAGTGGTAAAAGTGGGCATCTTTGTTTTATCCCACATTTTAGATGAAAAGCTTTCAACTTTTCCCTGTTCAGTGGAGGACTCTTTTTCATCTTTCAAAACCCAGCTGGGCTATCATTTCCCCTTTGAATCCTCATCTTGTCTGTCCCTAGAGTTAATGACGTCTCCTCAGGATGTTGTATATACTTCACTCGTTCCCTCCACGGGTACTTACTGTACTGGGGGATTAACAGTTAGCCAGTGCTGGGTATGCTGTGGCCAATGATATATATAGCCTGTTTCCTGGAGCTGACAGCTAGTGCAGGAGAGATAGGGAGAAGGTATTCAAATAAACAATGATGAAAATCTGCAATAAGTGCTATGAATAGTAGTAATAACAGTAAATGCCATACAAGTGCTAGCTGTATGCCATGCCTGCAGTAACTCATTATTCCTTATAACAACTCTGTGAAGTAGATAATTGTGTCCGTATTAAAGATGAAACTGAGACAGACAGGTTAAGTAAGTTGCCCGAGGTAACACAGCTAGTAAGTAGCATTGCTGGGATTAAATTGAGACTGTCTGGAGAACAGGGAGCTGTGAGAGAATGATGAGGGGGTCAGGGGAGAGCTCTCTGAGCAGACGACAGCTGAGCAGAAAGCTAGCAGCTGAGAAGGCAGCCTTGGGAAGATCTGAGGGAAGAGCATTCCAGCCAAGGGGAACAGAATCCATTGGCAGGCTCCAAGGCTGGGGCGAGCTTGGTGCATCTGAGCAGCTGAATAGGGGCCCAGCAGCCCCTGCTGCTCACTCCTCACTCCACTTGGAGTGGAGGGAGCAAAGGGAACAGCTGGAAGAGGCTGAGGGCAGGCTTCCAGGACCTGCAGGCTGGGGGTCCAGGCCTTGTAGGCTGAGTTTGGGCTTTCGAGCGCTGTGGGTCATGTTGTCTTGCCTACCTGCCTGTGAGAGCCATGAGGGCTCCCTTGTCCCCAGGCTTAGTGCCAAGATATGCAGTTCCCGCACGCTGGGCTCAGCGACCCAGGGAAACACATCATCATGGTTCCCCTTCTTTGTATGGCCAGCACCTTGAAGGTCTCAGCTGCCTCCCCATTCACCCCCTGACTCCTCACAACAGGGAGGTGGGTAAAAGGCTCAGCCCCCGTGAGAGACGAGGCACAGAGAAGTGAGGTGACATGCCTGGGTTTGCACACCTGGCAAGAGACCCAGAGCTCTCATCTGCTAGACTGGGTCCCCGTTTCCAGCCCTTGTCTTGGCTAGCGGGGCATCTGGAACTTCCGTGCACCTAGAATGTGGCCTCACTGTTACATGTGGACCCACCCCATCCCAGCCTCCTCTGCCCACCCTCACACACTGACAGTGTAGATTCAGGGCCCCAGGCTGAGCTGACCCCACCCCACACACCTCAGGGTCGAGGGAGGCTGCCCACTGCCCCTCACCTGTGCCTGGGCTGGAGCAGGGCCAAGCTGGCATCCCGGGAGCCTTCGGAGAGCTGCTCATCACTCGGCCCGATGACGAAAAGGGTGCTGCCTTAGAGGCACTCACTCACCTCACCTCTGTGGGCATCAGTTTCCTAATATGAACCAGTTCTCTTCCTGCAGATCATGCCAAATTGTTGTCAGGAATAGAGATGTTGAAAAAATGGAGAACTCGGCACATAATTGGCCATGGTGAATAGTTTTCTTTTTTTTTTTTTCCATCTCATGTGAACCTCAGTTTTCTCAGTGGTTCAATGGTAGGGTCAGTTGGTCAGATGAGATGGTGAAAGCAAACTTTTCTGTTGAGGACCTACTAAGTGTCGGGCATATTTAAACTTCCCAACAGCTTTGCAAGGCTTCTGGTATTTATCTGGCTTTACAAGTTAGAAAACCAAGGCTCTGGTATGAAGCCACTGTGATCTAATTAGAGAATTCAAAGCCTCATCTGACCCCAAGCTCCAGCTGGGCAGGGGCCCTGGGTGCTGAAGCTCCTCTCCTTGTCCTGGGCTGACCTGGCTGAGCCAAGGAACTGACACCTCTGCCTTATGCCTGCTCTGTCCTGTGGCTCCAGGGACAGATGGTGCTGCTGGCTGGGTCCTCTGCCAGCTCCCTGGCTGCAGGCCTGTGTGCTCCTGCCATTCCCAGGGGCAGCCTTGCGGGTTAGAGGTGACATTGGGGCAGTGACGGACTGGGGCAGACCAGAGTCTGACACTTTGGGGACACAGGGATGAGCCAGACTAGACGTGTCCTCAGATGCCCTCAGGTTGATGGAGAGACAGAGGGAGGTACAAACCTACTATGGCAGCACAGCACAGCACAGCCAGGATGTGACAGAGGGAAGCACCAAGATAGCCCCTCACCAGCCCAGTGGTCAGGGTGGGCTCCCTGGAGGAGGTGATGGGTTAGGTTGGCCCTAAAAGCTTTTCTGGGTTAGGAAGAATGATCCAGGCAGAGGCACCTGTATGTAAGAGATGTGAAGGAGCCAGGTCCACAGAGAAATGAGGGAGTTAAGGGCACCCTCCTTGACCCCCTTGTCCATGTAATATGTATATCCTGCCTAGGGCTTCTTCAGTAGTAATAATTTGTCCTCAGCAAATGATATATTAACTAATTAATATCAGTGGACGTGAATTATTAAGCATCTGTTTTTGTTTTCTCGAGACAAGGTCTCACTCTGTTGTGCAGGCTGGAGTGCAGTGGTGCGATCATAGCTCACTGAAGCCTTGAATTCCTAGGCTCAGGTGATCTTCCTGCTGTAGCTTCCCCTCTCAGCCTCCCAAGTAACTGGTACACCTGACCTAGCAACCAAAAGAACAATGTGTCAACTATGCTTGGCTATTTTTTTTTTTTTGAGACAGAGTTTTGCTCTGTTGCCCAGGCTGGAGTGCAATGGCGCGATCTTGGCTCACTGCAACCTCCGCCTCCTGGGTTCAAGCAATTCCCCTTCGTCAGCCTCCTGAGTAGCTGGGATTACAGGCGCCTGCCACCATGCCCGGCTAATTGTTTGTATTTTTAGTAGAGACGGGGTTTCACCATGTTGGCCAGGCTGGTCTCGAACTCCTGACCTTAGGCAATCTGCCCACCTCGGCCTCCCAAAGTGCTGGGATTACAAGGCAATCCGCCCACCTTGGCCTCCCAAAGTGCTGGGATTACAGGTGTGAGCCATCGTGCCCAGCTGCTTGGCTGATTTTTTATTTTTTTTATTTTTTTTTATTTTTTAAATTTATTTTTTTATTGATAATTCTTGGGTGTTTCTCACAGAGGGGGATTTGGCAGGGTCATGGGACAATAGTGGAGGGAAGGTCAGCAGATAAACAAGTGAACAAAGGTCTCTGGTTTTCCTAGGCAGAGGACCCTGCGGCCTTCCGCAGTGTTTGTGTCCCTGATTACTTGAGATTAGGGATTGGTGATGACTCTTAACGAGCATGCTGCCTTCAAGCATCTGTTTAACAAAGCACATCTTGCACCGCCCTTAATCCATTTAACCCTGAGTGGACACAGCACATGTTTCAGAGAGCACAGGGTTGGGGGTAAGGTCACAGATCAACAGGATCCCAAGGCAGAGGAATTTTTCTTAGTGCAGAACGAAATGAAAAGTCTCCCATGTCTACTTCTTTCTACACAGACACGGCAACCATCCGATTTCTCAATCTTTTCCCCACCTTTCCCGCCTTTCTATTCCACAAAGCCGCCATTGTCATCCTGGCCCGTTCTCAATGAGCTGTTGGGCACACCTCCCAGACAGGGTGGTGGCCGGGCAGAGGGGCTCCTCACTTCCCAGTAGGGGCGGCCGGGCAGAGGCGCCCCTCACCTCCCGGACGGGGCGGCTGGCCGGGCAGGGGGGCTGACCCCCCCCACCTCCCTCCCGGACGGGGCGGCTGGCCGGGCGGGGGGCTGACCCCCCCACCTCCCTCCCGGACGGGGCGGCTGGCCGGGCAGAGGGGCTCCTCACTTCCCAGTAGGGGCGGCCGGGCAGAGGCGCCCCTCACCTCCCGGACGGGGCGGCTGGCTGGGCAGGGGGGCTGACCCCCCCCCCACCTCCCTCCCGGACGGGGCGGCTGGCCGGGCAGAGGGGCTCCTCACTTCCCAGTAGGGGCGGCCGGGCAGAGGCGCCCCTCACCTCCCAGACGGGGCGGCTGGCCGGGCGGAGGGCTGACCCCCCCCACCTCCCTCCCGGACAGGGCGGCTGGCCGGGCGGGGGGCTGACCCCCCCAACCTCCCTCCCGGACGGGGCGGCTGGCCGGGCAGAGGGGCTCCTCACTTCCCAGTAGGGGTGGCTGGGCAGAGGCGCCCCTCACCTCCCAGACGGGGCGGCTGGCCGGGCGGAGGGCTGACCCCCCCACCTCCCTCCCGGACGGGGCGGCTGGCCAGGCGGGGGGCTGACCCCCCACCTCCCTCCCGGACGGGGCGGCTGGCCGGGTGGGGGGGCTGACCCCCCCATCTCCCTCCCGGACGGGGTGGCTGGCCGGGCTGAGGGGCTCCTCACTTCCCAGTAGGGGCAGCCGGGCAGAGGCGCCCCTCACCTCCCGGACGGGGCGGCTGGCCGGGCGGGGGGCTGATCCCCCCACCTCCCTCCCGGACGGCACGGCTGGCCAGGCGGGGGGCTGACCCCCCCACCTCCCTCCCGGATGGGGCGGCTGGCCGGGCGGGGGGCTGACCCACCCCCCACCTCCCTCCCGGACGGGGTGGCTGCCGGGCGGAGAGGCTCCTCACTTCTCAGATGGGGCAGCTGCCGGGCGGAGGGGCTCCTCACTTCTCAGACGGGGTGGTTGCCAGGCAGAGGGTCTCCTCACTTCTCAGACGGGGCGGCCGGGCAGAGACGCTCCTCACCTCCCAGACGGGGTCTCGGCCGGGCAGAGGCGCTCCTCACATCCCAGATGGGGCGGCGGGGCAGAGGCGCTCCCCACATCTCAGACGATGGGCGGCCGGGCAGAGACGCTCCTCACTTCCTAGATGTGATGGCGGCTGGGAAGAGGCGCTCCTCACTTCCTAGATGGGATGGCGGCCGGGCGGAGACGCTCCTCACTTTCCAGAGTGGGCAGCCAGGCAGAGGGGCTCCTCACATCCCAGACGATGGGCGGCCAGGCAGAGACACTCCTCACTTCCCAGACGGGGTGGCGGCCGGGCAGAGGCTGCAATCTCGGCACTTTGGGAGGCCAAGGCAGGCGGCTGCTCCTTGCCCTCGGGCCCTGCGGGGCCCGTCCGCTCCTCCAGCCGCTGCCTCCCGGGCGGCGCTCGCTGGCGCGGCGGCAAAGACTCTGATTTTTTAAAAATGTATTCTAGAGATGGGGTTTCGCCATGTTGCCAAGGCTGGTCTTGAACTCCTGGCCTCAAGTGATCCTTCTGCCTTGGCCTCTGAAAGTGCTGGGATTATAGGTGTCAGCCACTGCACCCAGCTTAAGCAACTTGGAGAGGCAGCCCAGTGAGTAGAAATGGCTTTGGTATTGAGAAAAGCGAAATCTCAGCTCCATCGCTCACCGGCAGAGTGCCATTAGACAAGGCTTTTATAACCCAAGCCTCAGTTCCCTTTTCTGTGCAGGAGGAATAATTGTCCCTCACAGGGTTTTGGTGAGGATGAATGGTGTTATGGATATAAAGCAATTTTATATAATGTATAGAAAAGCCTGAAACTTAGTAGGTGCTTAGTAAGGATGCACCAGGATTCCAGAGACACATGAGATGTGGCCCCTGTCTTCAAGGAGTTTCTTATTACCACATGTGTGTATTCTTTTACAGCCTAGAAAGCTCTATGGGCCAGGCTCAGTGGCTCATGCCTGTAGTCCCAGCACTTTGGGAGGCAGAGGCAGGAGGATCCCTTGAGCCCAGGAGTTCCAGACCATCCTGGGCAACACAGACCTCATCTTACTAAAAATAACATTTAAAAAATTGGGCTTGGTGCCGTGGCTCATGCCTGTAATCCCAGCACTTTGGGAGGCTGAGGGAGCGGGGGGCGGATCACTTAAGATCATTAGTTCAAGACCAGCTTGGCCAACATGGTGAAACCCCATCTCCACTAAAAATATAAAAATTAGCTGGGTGTGGAGGCTTGTGCCTGTAATCCCAGCTACTCGGGAGGCTGAGGCAGGAGAATCGCTTGAACCCAGAAGGCGGAGGTTGCAGTGAGCCGAGATTGTGCCACTGCACTCCAGCCTGGGCAACAGAATGAAACTCCATCTCAAAAAAAAAAAAAAAAATTAGCCAGGTGTGGTGGTGCGTGCCTGTAGTCTCAGCTACTCAGCTACTCAAGGGGCTGAGGTGGGAGGATTGCTTGAGCCTGGGACGTAGAGGCTGCAGTGAGCCATGATGGCGCCACTGCACTCCAACCTGGGTGACAGAGCAAGACCCTGTCTCCAGAAGAAAAAGAAAAAATAAAATAAAAAAAGAAAAAAAGAAAGAAAGCTGTGCACAGCTTTACGTCGTCTGTTATTCAGAAGCCTGGTAGGTCAGTGCTTGGCTAACAGCACCCGGGCTGTGGCCCAGAGAGGACCAGGTTCAGGTTGCCTGCGGGGGGTGGGGAATCTCAGGTCTCTCCACTCCTTGGCATTGTCTTATTTACGACCTCTAGAATAGGCTGTGATCTGCCCTGGGGCGTGGCCCTGCCCAGGTGTGGCCCTGTGCCAGACGTGGACTCGGTGAGAGGTCGGAAGGGGAGTGGCCTTGGGACTTCCTTTCAGCAGCCTCTGGTTTCCAGCACCACACCTGGGCCGAGCTGAAGCAGGTAGGTCTGACTTTTCTTTTGATCCCTTAGGGAGGGTGTGGAGAGACCCAATTCCTCTTTTTCTTCTCCAGGGATACAGCCCCGTGAGTGGTGGGAGGGACAAGTGGGAGGTCCGAAGTCGGAAGACTCTGGCTGGTTCTTGACCGGCTCTCTTCCCCAGCCTCAGCTTCCTCATTCATAACATAGGGATGTCGGGGTTGGGGCGGTGGGGGGTGATAATGGTCCCTGCAACTGGAGCCTGCTTCGTGCCAGGTAGCTTAATGCCATGGCAGGTATTTACAGAGAAGGGGTGTTAAGAGATCAGATGTACATGTGCCTATAGGCTTTGAGAGCAGGGCGAACATGGGAGAGGAAGGGGCCCAAGCATAAAGTGACTTTGGGGCCAAGGGAGGGGCCCTTTCTGAAGAGAGTCCAAGGGGAAAAGCATAGCCTTGCATCTCAGCACCGTCTTCCCCCACACCACCCCAGGCCCTCCTTGGCCTTTGAGTTTACTTGGTCCCCACCCTCCCCTTGCTTTTGAAGACTGAACTGGAGCTTCCAGGCAGCAAGGCAAGGAGAAGGTGTGTCTGTGCAGACTGGTTCTCAGCTGGGAAAACAGGAAGGCAGGCCTTCTGGATGGGGAGTCGAGGCAGTGATACTCTTTACCCGGCAGATCCCACTGCCTGGGTGGGATCCACAGGTCGGAAACCACTTCTGCAGTGAGCTCTTTTCCTATAGGCTCATATCATGCAGAAGGTAGGAGTGCTGGGAGGCAACTGATAACAAGGTGTCCAAAGTCCCAGGCTGTGTATCAGAAGTTCCAGTTGTTGGGTGACCTGATCGCCCTCCAGCTGATGTCCCCTCTGCTGCACTCCTGCCAGGCTCTGGAGTCAGAAGGACCCAGGTCCAGTCTCCCCTTTGCCTTTTACTGGCCAGGAGTGCATGGGTGGCCCTTTCCTTGTTCCCTGTCCATTTCCTTTCTCTTATCTGTAAAATAAGGAATGAGGAGGATTCCTGCTTCAGAGTGAGAATTAAAGGGCCCCCAAGAACGAGACCTGGCATACAGTAGGTACATGGTAAGTAGCAGTCATAGATTTCTGAAAAGGGATCTTTGAGCTTCTGCAAAGGCAATTCTTAGCCCCCGTCCTGTAGAAAGCTCTCTTGTCTCAGTAGGATCCCTCCTACTGGATCTGTCCCAGGACCAGATGAACCAACCAGCTTTAGTATCTCCCAGACTCTAGGCAAACAAAGCCCCTTCCAACTGCTACCTTGTTTCTTTGCTGCCTTTTCCCACACACATTTTGGAAAGAGTTTTCTCTGTTCCCATGGTATTACCTCTCATTCTTTCCCTAATTCACTCTAACTGGACTCCTCTCTTCCCCCTCCCTCCCTCCTTCCTACCTTCCTGTCAAAAATCAGTGATAGCTTGTTTCCCCATCTGCCTTGACTCAGAGCTCACGCACCAGCAGGGCCCCCTTCCCTCTGGAGAGCCAGACTCTCCTGGGGTCCTCCCACCTCACTGACTGCTTGCTCGCAGACTCCTTTGCAGATTCCTCCTCCCCACGTGACTTCTAAATAGCTGAGTGTGAGGGCAGGCATGGTGGCTCACACCTGTAATCCCAGCATTTTGGGAGGCCGAGGCAGGCGGATCACTTGAAGTCAGGAGTTCGAGAGCAGCCTGACCAACATGGTGATACCCCATCTCTACTAAAAATACAAAAATTAGCTGGGCATGGTGGCGCGTTCCTGTAATCCCAGCTACTTGGGTGGCTGAGGCACGAGAATCGCTAGAACCCGGGAGATGGAGATTGCAGTGAGCCGAGATTGTGCCACTGCACTCCAGCCTGGGTGACAGAGCAAGACTGTCTCAAAAAAAAAAAAAAAAAAAGCCGAGTGTGAATGTCTCTGTCAACCCATCTTCTTGGATGATGTCTGTTCTAGTTACAGTGGCTGTGTAACAAACTACCCCGAACCTTAGTAGCTTAAAGCAACAACTGGTTTCTATCATCTTGTGATTCTATGGGTCAGGAATTCTGGCAGGGCTGGGCTGGGTGGTTTGTCTGCTCTATGTGGCATTGATGGAGGCTGCTTAGTGGAACTTAGTGGTGGATGGGCTGAACTGGGGGCTCCATGATGCCTTCACTGGCACCTCGGTGGGGAGTGCTGGAAGGTTGGGTTTAGCTGGGACTGTCATTTGGAGCACCCACGTGTGGCCTCTTCAATATGACAGTCTTGGGATAGTTAGATTTTCTACCTGGCAGCTGGCTCCACTAGAGCAAGAGTTCTAAGAGGCCTGGGGGGAAGCTGCAAGGTGTGTCATGATCTAGTCTCAGAGTCACTGTTGAAATGTCACTAAAAATGACTCAGATTCAAGAGGAGGAGGTTAGACTCTACCTTTGAATGGGAGGAGTAGCAAAAATTGGTGGCCTTCTTTCATTTACCACAACGTCTCAAAATCCTGTGGATCTTAAATACCCATATATGTTAGTGTCTCCAGGTGTAGCCTCTTCTCCAGTGAGCTCCAGGCCTGAGTTCCTTGATTCCTCTCTTTAAATGTTTAATAGGATCTCACAAATTCTTGTCCCCTACTTATTTCTACACTGATCTCCCCAACTCAGTAACCAGTACCACCATCTGCCAGTCACTCATTCTAAGCTTGGATCCTCCTTTCTTATTTATTTATTTTGACTTTTTTCCTTTTTTTTTTTTTTGAGATGCAGTCTCACTCTGTCTCCCAGGCTGGAGTGCAATGGCGCGATCTAGGCTCACTGCAACCTCTGCCTCCCAGGTTCAAGCGATTCTCCTGCCTCAGCCTCCGGAGTAGCTGGGATTATAGGCACCTACCACCACACCCAGCTAATTTTTGTATTTTTAGTAGAGACGGGGTTTCACCATGTTGGCCAGGCTGGTCTTGGACTCCGGACCTCAGGTGATCCACCCGCCTCAGCCTCCCAAAGTGCTGGGATTACAGGCGTGAGCCACTGTGCCTGGCCTTTTTTCCCTAATTTTTATCCTGCCTACCACCTCCCATCATCTCCACGACCAAGTCCCCTAGCCGCTCGCAAACCCTCCCTCTACACTGCCCGCAGGTGTAGCTGCCGCTTCCCTCGACCACCCTCTCCAACTGGCACCACCCTGTCCCTTCTCACACACGTGGAGTCCTTCAGCAAGACCTGTTGCTTCTACCTCCCAAATACATCCTGGCTCCACCTCTCTGCCCAGCCAGCCCTCTCCCCTGACTGCAGTGGCCCGCTGAGCAGTCTGCCTGCTGCTTCTCTCCATCCTAAAGTTCACCTCCACACAGCAGCAGAGTGATCTTACAACGCAGGCCAGACCACCACCCTCCCCTACAGCCTCCAGTTCTTCCCCTCACACTTGGAGTAAAATCCAAGCTCCACTGGGACATACAAGACCTTAGGGGATGGGGCAGAGTCTGCTCTCTGCATTTCTTAGGTCCTTCTGTCCCAACACGTCCCTGTTCTTCCTCTGACAGCCGGTCCCTGCGCTTCCTTGGGGTTTTTGCACTGTCTGTTCTCTTGTCCGCAACCCTGCACAGTCTTGTGCAATTGCTCCTTCTCATCATTCCTTCAGATCCTAGCCAGGAAGCCTCTTTGATTACACAGCCTAAAGAAGCTCCTCCCTGTCCACCACCTTCTTTCTGTTACATCCCGTTTTTTCTTTCTCATAGCACTTTTCCCTCTTCTTGTTCCTCTTTTGTTTATTGTCTGTTCATGTGAGAAGACACTATGTCTGTTTAAGGTTTTCCCAGCACCTTTTTTTTTTTTTTTTTTTTTTTGAGACGGAGTTTTGTTCTTGTTGCCCAGGCTGGAGTACAATGGTGCGACCTCGGCTCACTGCAACCTCCACCTCCTGGGTTCAAGCAATTCTCCTGCCTCAGCCTCCCAAGTAGCTGGGATTACAGGAATGCACCATCACGCCTGGCTAATTTTGTATCTTTAGTAGAGACGGGGTTTCTCCATTTTGGTCAGACTGGTCTCCAGCTCCCAACCTCAGGTGATCCACTCACTTCGGCCTCTGAAAGTGCTGGGATTACAGGCGTGAGCCACCATGCCTCTGGCCCCCAGCACCTTTATCTTTTGGCAGAGGCTGGGGGGCCCAGTGTGGACTGAACTTCATGGGAGTTTTTAGATTTATTTTTTATTTTTATTTTATTTTTTAAAAGACAGGGTCTCACTCTATTGCCTAGCCTGGAGTGCAGTGATGTGATCATAGCTCATCGTAACCTTGAACTCCTGGCTCAAGTGATCCTCCCACCTCAGCCTTCCGAGTGGCTGGGGTGTGGCTAAAAACTTTTTCTTTTACCAGACTGGGCAACATGGCAAGACCCCATCTGTGTAAAAAATAAAAAATTAAAATTAGCTGGGCATGGTGGCACCCGTCTGTAGTCCCAGCAACTTGGGATGCTGAGGTGGGAGGATTACTTGAGCCTGGGAGGTCAAGGCTGCAGTGAGCCAAGATTAAGCCACTGCATTCCAGCCTGGGCAATAGACAGAGCAAGACTCTCTCGAAAAAAAAAAAATAATTTTTTTTTTTTTTGTAGAGATGGGATCTTGCTCTCTTGCCCAAGTTGGTCTCAAACGCCTGGCTTCAAGCAATCCTCCTGCCTCAGCCTCCCAAAGTGCTGGGATTACAGGCATGAGCCACTGTGTCTGGCAGTGGGAGTTTTTAAAAAGATTTATGTTGATTCCCAGCTAGAATCGGCCCCTTCCTAACCTTGTCCACCCCTTTGGGGTCTTGGTTTTACACTTTACTAGGCCTCTTTCTGTCCTCTAATCCAGCCAGCCTTTGGATTTGCAGCCAGAGGCCTGACACCCAGGCCACACGCAGCCTGGCCCCCTCACTGTCCCTCCGACGGCCTGGTTGTCATCCTGAGCCACTCCTTGTTCCCTCTGTTTTCCCCTTCACAGGACTGGGCCTCATGCTGCCTGCCAAATGCCAGTCTTGGGCTGTCTCCTCCCTGCCACTGAGTCATTCCTTCCCGAAATGCACTCCCTTCACCCCCCAACCCCTCACCACAGGGTGAAGCCTTCAACAGCCACAGGGTGCCCATTTGGTTACAGCAGGAATTGTTATTGTTGAGTGTGTGGACAGATGAAATAATAAGGCTGTTTTCCCATAAACAACTATTAAGCTGGAGCCACCCCAGCATGCATACAACTTAAAAAAGTGATAGCAACAGAAAAGCTTAAATGCAGGTTGATAGAATGAGTCTTTTTCATTTTCATCTGCTTGGTTTTAAGTTTATGTGTTACAACCTTTCAAGTGGTCATCTAGGACCAGGTGTCTCTTCAGGTAAGCCATTTGATCACATGTTGAATGGAGCAGGTACATGTGGTACTTAATTGGAGACAGCTCCCAGGTTCCATTGAACACATATTTACTGAGCACTTACAATGTTCTGGGTCTATGCAAATGCAAATTTTGTCCATTCCTAACCCAGTGGTCTGCTCCTGTGTGCCCAGCATGCCTTGTTCTCAGTGAACCCGAGCTGCTTTCTAGTGACTGTTGCCTTCTATTCCAATAATCCATTTCCCTCATGAGGTGTCTTGAGCCTCTCGAGGGCCTACAAAATGCAAAGGCTTCCCAGCAGTTGTGGAGTCTGGTTAGACCATATGTGGGCGTCTGCGGGAGGCTTCGTAGAGTGCCACAGACTCTGTCCTATTCCACATCTTGATTCTTGGTTGAAATGAACCACAAACCAATGAATTCTGTCTTGGTAGAGAGAGGATGTGTTCAACTGGCAGTGCCAGGAGGGAAAGCAGATGCCATTGTCATAGCCCAGGGCTGAAAGGCTCCATCTGACCCCCACTGCTCTGCAAAGGCCATCTGGCCAGTCACAGCACTTACCCTTGGGACCTGTTTAGGCCCTTCCTCACTAGAATGGTTTTCTGGGTCTTTCTACAACACCTTGCCCTTTTTATTTTTTGAGACAGAGTCTCGCTGTCACCCAGGCTGGACTACAGTGGAGTGATCTCAGCTCACTACAACCTCCACCTCCTGGGTTCAAGCGATTCTCCTGCCTCAGCCTCCCAAAGTGCTGGCTGGGATTACAGGCATGAGCCACCGTGCCTGGCCTTTTTTTTTTTTTGAGACAGAGTCTCGCCCTGTTGCCCAGGTTGGATGGAGTACAGCAGCAAGATCTTGGCTCATTGTGACCTCTACCTCCCAGGTTCAAGCGACTCTCCTGCCTCAGCCTACCGAGTAGCTGGGATTACAGGCACCCGCCACCACACCCAGCTAATTTTTTTGTATTTTTAGTAATGACAGAGTTTCACCATGTTGGCCAGCCTGGTCTCAAACTCCTGGCCTCAAGTGATCTGCCTGCCTCGGCCTCCCAAAGTGCTGGGATTACAGGCCTGCCTTGGCTTTTTAACAACATGAAGGCACTTCCTATGAGTCAGATCCTGTTCTAAGCACTTTACATGTATAATCTCATTGAATCCCAATTATGATATTCTCTCTCTCTTTTTTTTTTTTTTTTAAAGAGACAGGGTCTCACTCTGTCACCCAGGCTGGGTAACTATGATATTCTTATTCCCATTTGACAGATGTGGATATGGAGGTTCAGAATGGCTCAAGTAAAATGGCTTCGGGTTATCTAGCCAGACAGTCTGAAGCCCTTGGGCCTTGCTGTCCTCTTTGCCAGCCCCCATGCCTTCCTGTTTCTTTCTTCTCTCTTTCTCTTCACCCTTCTGATTATTTCAATAAACCTTCTTGTAGGCTCAAATTCCTCTGAGACAGTGTAGGAAAATATGGGGATGGGAGTGGAATTGGAACAGGTCTGATAGGGCTACTTTGCAGCCAGAGAGCTTGAGGCTGAAGGCAGCATCTGGAGTGTGGATGGTGCCGCGTAGAGAGTTGCTGGCACACCTGCTGAGCTCAGCTGCCTCTGCCAGAGACTAGATTGTGCTCAGCTCTGGACCTCCTAATGCCCAGATTTGGCAGCTTGGGCCTTAGAAGCAGCACCACAGGTTCCTCTGCTAAGCCTTGTTCTGAGACCTGCTCTGCAACACCTGCAGTGTAAGGGCACTCCTTCAGTGAGTAAAATCACAGCTCCTCTCCCACCTCTCTGCTCCGCTCAGGAATGTTTTCTTGAACACTCCTGGGAAAATGAAAATGTTGTTATGTTGTGCAAGGGGAAGCTGGGTAAGGTGGGAAGAAGAGAGCCAGAGGATAGCAGGCCTGGGCAGGCAGGAGGGCCCTGGGAACCATCTGGGGCCTTGGGGTAGTGAGGGGGATGCTGAGTGGGGAGGTGCTGCTGGGGGAGCTGGGAGAAGGGGCCCCACTTTCTGGGGAGGAAGAGGACATCATCCCCAGCAGGAAGGGCCCGCAGGACCCTGGAGCAGCCGCTGGGGCCTTGAAGGGGCCCACTGGGCTGCTGGTTTCCTGGGGCAGGAAGTCCTGGCTGCAGCCAGAATTTGGCCAGGGGAGGGCAGCTCAGGCAGGAGGAAGGTGCACAGTGGGGGAGGTCTGGAGCCTGTCCTCCCTTCCTGCTCGCCTCTCTTCTGCTTGCTCTGTTCCCTGCCAGCCTCTGTTTTTCTCTCGCTCTGACCTCTGCATTGTTCCTTCCCTCCTGTCTTTGACGCCTTTCCTTTCTCTCTCTCTGACTCTGGTTTCTTCTCCTTTCCCTCTGCTCTCTCTCATTCTCTCTCTCTTGCTCTCCTGAAGGGGAATTGTGATGCCTGTAGCTGCTGTGCCCAGCTCCAGGGTAAACAGAGTTGCTTGCAGGATGGTAGGGCCCGGGTCCATTGCCTGGCCACCTGTTGCCATGGTGACCCAGAGGCAGCACAGGCAGCAGCCTTGGCTGTCTGGCAGGTAGGGCAGGGGTCTGAGGAGGGGAAGAGGCCGGGTCTGTCCTTCACAGCCCCAGAATGGCCCACCCCACCGTCAGGGCCTGTGGCATGGGGGTGACTGCCTGTGAACATGGGTTCTGTACTGGGTGCTGTCAAAGCAGCTCCCCTGAGGGGGGGGGTCACACGGAAAGGGCGGGTCATTCATACTTGGGGTCAGACTCAGACTGCCTGTGTTCTAATCGCTTCTGGCCACTTTTGTGGTCTGCTGGAGGTAGAGGGTGGGAGGTGGCAAATAGCCCCAAGGGAGGAAGCCACAGGGAGGCAGCTAGTGAGTGGGACATAGGGAAGAACAGGCAGATTTGCTCTTTAGCAGAAGGGTCTCCCTTGGAAGGGAGTGAGCCCTCTGCTTCTGGGAGCAAACAAGCTCATGCTGGACAGCCACCAGAGGCAGTGTGGCGGGCTGAGATTTCTGCACCTGAGAGAGGCCTGTCTAGCTGAACCTGAGGTTTCCTCCCACTCTGAGAGCTGAGAATTTATAAAGTACAGTTTTCAGCTCCCTGAGAGTTTGCAATTTCCTCACTGACAGTGGCCCAGTGGGACAGTGTTCTGGAAAGTGCCTTGACCCTGGACCATGCTGGAAAAGGGTACTGACACCATCACGGCCTCCTGCAGAGGACATAAGGGTAGACAGGGAGGGGAGCTTCTTGGAAGTCCTGGCTCCAGGTATGGGTCCTGGCCTAGCATGTCTGGTTAAGGAAGAGCCGGTGGATGTCACAGATGCCTGGGATGCAGCAGCAACTGTCCTGCCTGCCAGATGAGAGAGAAGCAGTTGTACAAAGTGGTCAAGCAGTCTTAGCTTTTGCGGTAAGCAGACTTGGGTTGATGTCTCAGCTCTGCCCTTTCCTGGCTGTGTGATTTTGTGTGCATATATGTGCAAGTTACCTTTTCTGAGACTTTGTTTCCCCATCTGTAAAATGGGAATAATAACAACATTCAGGTATTAAGGCTGTGTGATGATTAAAAGAGATAATGTGTAAAAATATTCAGTACAGGCTGGGCACAGTGGCTCACGCCTGTAATCCCAGCACTTTGGGAGGCCAAGGCAGGAGGATCACTTGAGGCTAGGAGTTCGAGATCACCCTGGCCAACATGGTGAAACCCCATCTCTACTAAAAATACAAAAAGTATCCAGGCATGGTGGCACACACCTGTAATCCCAGCTACTTGGGAGGCAGAGGCAGGAGAATAGCTTGAACCCCGGAGGTGGAGGTTGCAGTGAGCCAAGATCACACCGCTGCATTCCAGCCTGGGTGACAGAGTGAAACTCTCTCAAAAGAAATAAAAAAATGTGGCTGGGCGGTGACTCACACCTGCAATCCTAGCACTTTGGGAGGCCGAGGCAGGTGGATTACCTGAGGTCAGGAGTTTGAGACCAGCCTGATGAACATGGTGAAAACCCGTCTCTACTAAATACAAAAAATTAGCCGGGCGTGATGGCGCATGCCTGTAATCCCAGCTACTCAGGAGGCTGTGGCAGGAGAATCGCTTGAACCCAGGAGGTGGAGGTTGTGGTGAGCCAAGATTGTGCCATTGCACTCCAGCCTGGGCAACAAGAGCGAAACTCCATCTCAAAAAAAAAAAAAAAAAATAGTTCATTACAGTGCTTGGCCACATTAATTAAATATACAAGGAAGAATGATTGTTCTCAATCTTACCTGCCGCCCACCACTTTCGGTTTTATAAACTGAGGAAGCTGAGTCCGGAGAGGTTGAAACACTTGCTCCTGTTAGGTTGTTAGTTTTGGGCATAAGGCAGGGACAGCGCCCAAACAATACGGAGGAGCTGAACCCCGGCCCACCCAGCCTGGCCCCTGTCCTGCAGGTTCCTGTCCATCTGCACACAGGGTCAGACTCTGCTCACACTCTGCAGCCCAGCTGCCCCTCGGTGTAGCAGATCTCCTAGGGAACTTCATGTTCAGCGGCTGTCTCCCTATCTAGACCTTGGCTCTGTGAGGGCGCGGCTCAGGCTTGCCCACGCTCCCCACTCCCTGCAGGCCTGACTCAGTCTCTCAGTAAGTGCTGGCATAAAAGGAAGGCAGGACCATGGCAACTTACAAAGCTGTTCATGTGTTCCCTCCTTTGCACCTCACAACAATCTACAAAGTATTTGGGATTCCCATTTTACAGATGAGGAAACCGGTCTGTGGGGGGTGCTCACTTGTTGAATGAATGAATGGAGAGAGGGGAAGCAAGTTGCCCAGAGACCTCCCCATCATCCCCACCCCGCTCCCTGTACTGAGGGTGGGGCCGGGATTCAAATGCAATCTACCTGTCTCAAGAACCCACTGTCCACCAGCAAACCCTCTTTCCACATTTCTGTTTCCCAAAGTGAGAACAAACGCTGCTAGAGTCTGGTTGTTTAGGAAAGACAAGTCCCCATCCAGCCCAGCTGCTGCATCCTCTCCAGCCTCCTTGACACCGCTTCCTCACACGTGCACAAAACTGCACAGTTAGCCAGGTGCCTTTAGCTTCTCTCCTTTCATCCACATGCAGCAATTCATGGAGCTGGGTGGGAGTGCTTGTCTTTCTTTAACCAAGGAGGAAACAGCTTCTCAATAACTTGCCCAAAGTCTGCCTAACTAAGCCCTTTGACTGAAGACCTTAGACAGAGAGCCCCCTGGGGCTCAGTTTCTCCACCCATACAAGCAAGCAGGTGTCTTCAAAGCCCTATTCACCTCGTGGTGCCGAGGAAAGGGCTGTGCTCGAGCTCTGGCTGGGCACCTTAGGCAGGACTTGAGATGTCTCTGAGTGCGGGATCCCTATGTACCTCACCAGTGATAGCACCTCACATATTTGCTTATGGGTCAAATGAGATGTGAATGGGAAAGCATTCAGGAAATGCCCTCCCTACTCCCCCAGGCCCCTGGTGGTCACCTCTGGGACAGGGGCAATTCTCAAGATGACCCACAGAGGGTAGGTGTCAGATTTCAGACAAGGTTATTTTTACCCTTGGGGGTGGAGGGAGGCAGGTGACATTTGGACTGACAGTTCTAGAATGGGGTGAGGGGGCAGGGATGGGAGCAGGGCCTCTAGCGGAGAACCTTGTCTGACCTCAAGGTCCATATTCTCCCTGCCTGTGTGGGGTGACACTAGGGAGAATTCGGAACGCACTGAAAAAAATCTCATGCATTTGGTCCACAGCGAGCCAGGCTCTGTCCCCTCTGGGCCCTGGAGATACCAGAAGTAGAAAGAGTTTCTGCATAGTAGATCTTCATGGTCTGGTGTCAATCAAATTCTCCCACAATTAATTGAACCTTGTCACAATGGAGAGCACTGCAGAAGTGAGGTACACGGGTGCCCGGGGTGCTGAGGGATAAGGAGCATTACAGAGATGGCGGAGCAGGACAAGTGTTCCAGGCAGAGGGAGTGGCACGGGCAAAGGCCCAGTGCTGGGAGATGGCAAGCTGCACATGAGGACCTGAAAGAAAGCCAGTGTGACTGGGTCACGCCATGGTGCTATATAGGACCACAAGGTTCATGTCTGTTGTGTGTGCAGTAATGGAGCAATGCACCAAAACAGCAGGAACTGAGGCAGAGAAAGTTTCATAATCAAAAGGCAGCCAAACAAGGAGGTGGGAGAGAACCTCAAATCCACCTCCCTGGGGAGTTTCTCAGACTGGGGTTTTTAAGGGAATTTGAAGGAGCTGGGGGTTGCTGATTGGCCGAGGAGTGAGGGGTGGAGTCATGGGACAGGGAGAGGAAGAAACTACATTCTTGTGTTGAGTTGTCTCTTTGGAAGGAGGCTTTAGACTGACAGGTGTTGGTGGACCCACTGAAATGCAGGATTTGGGGCCGGGTGCAGTGGCTCACGCCTATAATCCCAGCACTTTGGGAGGCTGAGGTGGGCAGATGGCTTGAGGTCAGGAGCTCCAGACCAGCCTTGGCAACAAAAAATTAGCTGGGTGGCACATGCCTGTGGTCCCAGCAACTCTGGAGGCTGAGGTGGGAGGATCACTGGAGCCTGGGAGGTGGAGGCTGCAGTGAGCTGAGGTCACCCCCACTGCACTCCAGCCTAGGTGACAGAGCAAGATCTAAAAAAAAAAAAAAAAAAAAAAGCAAAGCAGAATTTTGTAAATATCTCAAAATAGAAACCTTGAGGTTTTTTTAATGTTAAAGATGTTATCTGGAAAAGTTAGGACCCTGTGGCAGGGGCTGTGTGACTTTTAAGCAATAAGCAGCTATAAGAAAGTGGGCTATAGGGCAAGCCGGTTAATGCTTAGCTATGCTTTTACTTACAGCTTATGCTTTTGTTAAAAACTTAGCAATTTAGCTTGATTAATTTTGTGAGGATGGCTTCAGTGTGAGCGAGACTGGAGGTGTGGGCGAGACTGGAGGTGTGGGCAGGGGTGGCCCATGAAGGGCCTCAGAGACCTTGTTAATAAGGAGTTCTTCCTATAAGCCAAACCCTTTCAGGATTGGAAAGAATCTTGGAGACTCTCTGGTTAAATGCCCCATTTGACAGATGAGGAAACTAAGGCCCAGACATCTAATAATAAAACTCACCTTTTTATAATCACTTACCATGTGCCAGAGATCAGGCTATACACTCTGCTTTCTGCTTTCACCATATCTTCCCCTTAAAATATAGCTGGCATTTCACATCTTATTTAATTTAAATTAGCAGATTGACTTGATTTTTGCCAAAGATGTTTTCTCTCAATAATTAAAAAAAATTAATTATTGAAGTAAAATTCACATAATGTAAACTTAACCATTTTAAAGTGACCAGTTCCATGGTTTTTGGCACATTCACGGTGTTGTACAACCACCACCTCTGTCTAGCTCTGAAAATTTCCATCACACTAAAGTACTACAATCCCTTACTCATTAGGTAGTTTTTCCCCATTCCCTCTGCCCCCAGCCCCGGCAACCACCAATCAGCTTTTTGTTTCTATAGATTTATCCGCTAATATGGATACATACAATATGTGACTTTTTGTTTCTGGTATGTTTCACTTAGTATATCTTTTTGAAATTCATCTATGTTTTAGCATGTATCAGTACTTCATTTATGTTTATGTCTGAATAACCATTCATTTGATAAAGATACATATACAGATATACATATATATCTATATACATACATATATATTACAATTTATTCATTTATTAATGGATATTTGAGCTGTTTCTACCTTTTGCTTGCTGTGAATAGTGCTGCTATGAACGTGTATGTGCATGTATTTGTACTTGTTTTAGTTCTTTTGGGTATATAACTAGGAGTGGAATTGCTGGGTCATATGGTATTTCTGTGTTTAACTTTTTGAAGAACTGCTAAACTGTTTTTCATGGCGACTCAACCATTTTACATTCCCACCAGTAATGTACACAGGTCCCGTGAATTTCCTGGCAGCAGGCCCAGGCCAGAGACCTCACATGACTGTGAGGCTGGAGCAAAGCCGCTTGTGCGCTGCCCCATGCAGCTCTGGTCCTGTTCCTCCTTCCAAGTTTTTCAGTACCAAAAAGCCCTGTGTACTGGCTTTTCTCCCATTCTACATGTCCTTGGTTCCTTAGGATCCCTCTCGGGGCTGCATGAGCCAGGCACCAGGGGTCATGATGCTTCCCCCTACCCAGGCTGTGCAGGGAGAGCTCTCACCTTCCTTTGACACTTAGAAGTCCTGTGTCAATAGTGCCAGTTCTATGAGTGAGGCTGTCACATATGCAGACTCCTTTCTGACCCCCATACCAAGGAAGATGCCAAAGTGACAAGGGGAACAAACACATTGGCCTGGCTGTGCTTGCTGCCCGTTAAGAATCTGGCTCAGCCTCAGCCTGGTGACCCTAAACAGCAATGGCAGGGTCTGGGTCAGCAAGACACAGCTCTCTCCATGCAATGTTGGAATGAGTGTCTCCAGTCTCTTATTGCTGATGGGAACCTTGTGAAAGGACCTGCATCTCCTGGACAAACCAAGACACCTATGGCAGTGCAGGCCCCACCCCCTGAAAAGCATCACACTACTTGACTGACTGACCACGCCAGCACTATGGATAAACCTCAAGCCTTTTAGGTTAACTCCTGTCTGCCACAGATTCTCAGGAAAAGAGATCATCTTTCTAAATGCAGATTCACAGGCAGATGACAGTCCATGACCTGAATAACCTCTTAGTGAAGATTTTCAGATTCTGCTCCACATTCTGGGATGCTTACCAGGGCTTCAGATTTAGGAGGAGAAAGTTTATTTTATTTTATTTTATTTTTATTATGACCTCTATCCAGGCCTCCTTTCCTTGCATGCAAAATCAGTGTGATAGAAAGGAGAATGAACAACAAGCATATTGTGGTATTAGTGAAAGAAGCACCTACCATTTGGAAGCCCAAAGAGGAATGTTTATTTTTTTAATTTTTATTTTTACTTGTAAAAATAAAATATTTAATTTATGATCTTGAAAAAAAAAAGAATTGCTAGGGTAATACGTATGAGAACTGCTAGCATAGGACCTGAGACTTAGTAGGCATTCAATAACTGTTCACCAAATGAATACATATAGGAGATGCTTCATAAAAATATTGGTTCAATTCTCTACCTTTCCAACTCCCAAATCTTGAAGAATGTCAAGTGTGAACACACTTAGTAGCTAAAGGAAAATTAAGATGTTTGATAGGACATTGGGACCATCGTTTGTCTTCTAGAATGAAGATATGATCTGATATTGTATGACAATCAGAAGCCTGAGGAACAGCCTCCTGGTATCCTTCCTCCCAGCCCTGGGGCTAGCTTTGAGGACGTATGCTCCCTATTTTACCCATGAGTTTGCTGCCCACCACTACTACCCTTTTTTTTTCTTGTCTGCTGGGAACCTCAAGGCCCATGCAGCTCTCTTTGGCAGCATCTGGATTCCTAACAATCCTCTCCTCTCTTATTTGGTTCCTTAACTTTATTTGTTTGTATTTTGGTTCCTAGTGCACGTGCATCCTGTGTGTGTCCCGGGTATGTGTGTAGGCTGCCTCAGAGCCTTTTTTGGGAAGAAGGCAGGGAATAGGCCAAAAGAGGAGCTTTGGAATGTTGACAGGCAGGAATACTCCTGCCTTGTTGGTGGGGAAAGCACCAGGAGGCTGCCCTTGGGTTTCTCTGAGAGGCTGGGGGAGAGGGAAGGGGCTGGGGCCACCTTTGTGGGGACAGAGCATGGAATTTAGTCAGCTCCCTCATACTGCTTAGAGTGACCTGGTTCAGACAATGGGGCCTTTCATGGGGCCTGGCCCACAACTCTGGAGTGGGTGCAAGGCCTCTTCTCCCTGCCCGCCCCTGGGGCCCACCTTCCAGTACCTTGTGAGAGGCAGGGGCGGGAGAGTGGGAGGAACAGGGGCTTTGCAGTTTTGCACCCTGGGTTTGAAGCCCTGCTCCATAATCACTGGCTTTTTGAATTCTCACAGAACCTCTCAAACAAGCTCGTAATCTTGCCCTGCACAGGGTTGCTGTGAGACTCTGGAGAGCTCATGGGTAGAAAGCACTGTGGAAACAGTCCACTTTGAACTATGTTTGGGTCCCTCCCAGCTGTATTTCTGTAGAAAGCACCAACTTTATAATGCTAATAGTAAGCACTCAATACATGTTAGCCACAGGGTATATGTGTGCCAGGAGCTTCATATACTTGGTGTTGTTTAATTTCCTCCCTATGATGATTCTTGGAAGTGAGTATAATAATCCCATTTTTATAGACAGGAAACCGAGACCCATAGAGGTGTAGCAGCTTGCTCAAGGTTATCAACGTTAGTTGTGGAATTGGACTTGAACCCAAGCTAGGCTGACCCCCAAGGCCTGTGCACAGCCTGTGTCAGGGTGGGTTACTCCAGAGGTCACCCAGGCGTGCTCTTCCCCTTCAGGGCAGGTAGGTCTCCTTTGCACCAGGCCTGTTGCTCCAGTTGGGGTCTGCAGGCACTGTGATCTCAGCTGGCTTATCACTTTAGGGCATACCTTCTCCAGAAGTCTTCCATCGTTTCTGGGGACTTCTTGGCCTGGCCCCCAAGCCCCTCTTCCTCTGTCTCCACCCATCCAGGTATGTAGAGCATTTTCCCACCTGCTCTCATTTGCCCCAGTGTTCACATCACCTGAACCCTTTGCCCTGACATTCCTGTCACCTGAACCACAGCCGTTCTGTTTCTCCTTTTTGCTGTTCCTTATGGCCTCTCTGTACCTCAGACCTTCCTCCCACTGTGAGTCTCAGCTCTCAGACCATTAGTCTTTTCCTTTCTCTCTTCCATGGGCATTTATTTAGCCCCAAATCTGTGCCAGGCACGTGTCCCTGTCCCGTGGAAGCATCTGTCTGATGGGGGTGGCAACTGTGAGGACAGTGACTACCCAGCTTGGTCAGTGCCATGATGGAGATGGTGAGGCTGCAGGGGCATTCTAACTCTCCCTGGGGAAGAGAGATGCAGGATGAGGAAGAGCTCACCTAGCAGACAGGCGCAGATAAACGGATTCTAGGTGGAAGTGGCACCTTCATGTTGGGGGAAGACAGCGGGAGTGAGAGTGGTGCTCTAAGGAAACGTATATGGTCTGGAGCTGAGAGTGGCTGCTGGGGTGAGTGGCAGGAGCTACGGTGGCTGGTTCTTGATCCTGAGAGCAGTGGGGAGCCATCGAAGAGTCCTGAGCAGGGGAAGTGCCTGGTGAGGCTTGCTCTTTAGAAAGGTCTATGTGCTCCTAAGGGGCAGAGCAAAGTCCCATGGTGGGTGGAGTTATGAGGACCAGGTCTCCCCGAAAGGAAGGTAGTTGTTGAGTTGGATTTGCTTTTTGGAAAGATCCCTCTGGTGCTGTGTGGAGGCTGGAAGGAGTTAGATCAGAGGCCTGTTTAAGGTCGGATCATTGGGACTTGGATACTGGGCAGAGGGAGGAAACCAAGGTGAAGCCTTGGGCCTGTTTCCAGCCCCAGTAGCCTGTGGGCCCAGTAGCCTGTGGGTCTGTTGTCAACTTGCCTAGAAGGAGCCGTGGCCCAGCAGGGCTTATATTGGCCCCCGCAGCTGGGTGGCCCTGGGCCAGCTTTTCCCTCTGTGCCTTAGTCCCCCAGGCTGTGAACGGATTGGGTGAGGGGGTCTCTCCTGCCCTGACCCTGCAGGTCTGTGACATGACTCTGGCTCAGGAGGAGGGACACAGAGCCCATGGTGTGGCTAGCTGGGGCCTAGTCTAGCATTATCAAGTCTGGCCAGGTCTGCCAGGGCCTGGGGCCAGCACTTGGCACAGCTGCTGTCTGAGAGGGCACATCTCCGACCTCTGGGTGTCCTCCTACCCTTGCAGTGGTTCAGCCCCCGCCACCCTGGTAGCTCTCTTGGCTCGGCCTGCCTGGCTGCCCAGGCCCTGACTCTATCCAGGGCCTCTCCTCTCCCTATGACTGGCCCTGGGAGGAGTGGCCCAGCTCTGGAGCCCCATTGGCCAAAACTTGCCTGGGCTGCACACACCCCTGCCTCCCAGACTGGCTGCCTGCCCACCTTGGGACTAGGAGGCCTGGCCTGGCATGCCCTAATGTGGGCAGACTGCCTTGGAGCCCAAGGAAGGAGTGGAGTCTGAAAGGCTATGCCTGGGGCCACCTGCTGCTCTGTCCCTGCTGCCTGTGCTCCAGCCCACGGCTTCTGCGCCCCTCTCTTTGAGGGGAGTGGTGGGGATAGCAACTGCGAGGCTTGTCTCTCAGTGTGCTTCAGGGGCCCTGCTTAGAGGAGCACAGTATTTCCATTCTGACAGGGTTCTAGAGCTTCCTCCCTGGGAATCTCAGCTGGGTATGCAAATCCCAGGCTGAGTTAGGCCCTGGACTCCTGGAACCAGGGGTACTTTAGGGACTGGCAATTCTCTGTCCTACTTGGTGAGTGACAGATGTGGCTTGGGAAGGGGGAGACCCTGCTCAGGATCACACAGCACTTGAGGGACACAGGTAGAATTTGAACTCAAGTCCGTCTCTGTTTGTCCCTCCACAAACCTTTGACGATGTCCTCCTGTGTGCCAGGCCCCTCTAGGCCCAATTTGTCTTTGTATTCTCTATCTTTGCCCAGGGCCCCGTACAGAGGAAGTGTTTGGTGAATGAACAAATGAACAAATGAACCAGTGAGCAAGGCACAGGTCCTGGCTCCCGTGGCATAGGGTCCAACAGGAAGGTAGGGACTCCTGATTCACAGAACAGGAAACGGGAGTGCATGGGAGGAGGGGTTGACCAGGTGAGAAGCAGAGAGAGGACCAGAGCTTAGGTATCATGACTGCTGGTCCAGGACTGTGCCCGTGTTCCCTTGTTGGTGAAATGGGTCAATAGTTCTTGCCCTCGTCCTCGTGAGGGCTCAGAGAAGTGGCGGACGTGCCCAGGCTGGTAAAGCGGGGGTGCTGTGTGTCGGCGTCCCTGTGTGTGTGTCCAGACTGCCCAGAAACCCCAGGCAGTCTGCCCCTTTTGTTCTGCCCCTTTTGTTCTGCCCAGTTGCCCTCTGCAAGTGGGCATTGTCTCCCCATTTCCTCAGCTCTCCCTAGGGCTTCTTTCTGGAATTTCTTCCCAATACCCCTGGCTATGGGAGGGGTTTGGGAAGAGTGTGGACGAATGGAGTCCTGCCTACCACCTCCCTCTACCCACTCCCACACCCCGAAAGCCAGCCACCCGTATCCATGCAGGCCCCCAGCGCACAACCAAGCGGGAAGTGCCTTGGCAGTGGTTACCATGGCGATGGGTCCTGCTGCTTGGACAACATCGGCCTTCCAGCTACCTGTGAGAGCCCGCAAGCCAGGCAGCCTGGCACCCTGCAGGCCTCCACCCTGGCTGAGAGCTCCTGGGATGGCTGTCTTCCTGCCTCCCCTTGGTGCCCAGCCTCCTACCCAGGGGCTCTTGGGAATAAGCCGTGTTTCTGGGAACCCATAAGCCGTTCTGGGTCAGACAGGCCTGGTTCAAATCCTGGCTGTACCACATGGGGGTCAGTGACTTTGAACAAGCCACCTCGGAGTGCTTGAAATTGAATTAGCTATGGGAGGCTCACTGGGGGGAATTATCTAAGGAGTATACACCAGGTGCAAGAGCTACCACTGCCAGCATCCTGCAGCCGTGGCAGGCTCACCATTGGGGCATGCTGCTCTTTGCCACTACAGCCAAGCCCAGGTCCCTGGACTCCTCATCTCAGCCCCAGGAGGCCCTGCAAGCAGTGTAGTGTCGGGGGTAGGAGCTCAGGCTGCAGCAGACCTCTGGAGTCACAGCTGAGCTTTGTCACTTACTTGGGCTCCTCATCTGTAGGATAAGGATAATAAGGCATCTGTCTCATAGGTTTGTTGGGAGGATAAAATTGGATTAGTACAAATAAAGTACTTGTAAAATTATGTGACACCTAAGTGCCATATAAACATTAGTGGCGACTGTCATCACCACCACACAATTGGCATTGGCCATGAGAATCGGAACCCATATGCCTGTCCCTCCTCATTTTTCTCACACATGCAGGTGTGCCCAGCTCTTGAGCTCATGGTCTGCTTAGGGATGGCAGGCTGCTAGCCCCTTTCCTCTTCCTCCCTTCCAAAGGACTGATGGGCACACCCCACCTCTTCTGCTTGGAGAGTAAGACATGCTGGTTCCAAGCAGAAACCCCAGCTCTAATTCATTAGTTGGAGAATTTTCTCAGCCAGTTTTCCAGCTGGCAGCTGTTGTACCCAGCCCTGGATCAGACAGCTGGTCTGTGACTGCCCACAGCCCTCCCAGTCAATAGATCCAAGTGCTAGACATTAGCGGGCCACAGAGGCTGTCCTGATGGCCTCTGAAGATGGAGGGAGCCCAAGAAAGGAGCCCTTTGGGGATGAAATCAGAGCGGCTTCTTGAAACACTGTATTAGGAACAGTTCCCTGGGCTTGACTGCTATGGAGCTCTCTAGGCCTCCCTGCATAGAGAGGCGACTCTTTCCAGAATGAACGTAAATCTAAGGCAACACTTTAAACAGTTGGCCCAGGAGCTGAAGCAAGGAGGACTGACTTCTCTGCATGGTTTTGTCTCCACTGGCCCACTCGGGTGCAAGGCCGTGTTCATGTGCAGTTCTTGGCCAAAAGGAAACTGGGCAGAAGCAGCAATCACAGATATCCTGGGGTCCGAGACCACGGGCTGGAGGGTGGTGACCACTCTCGGGTTGGGGTCTGGTGGGAGGTGGCCCTAGGTACTCTCTCTCCCCCAGACCCTAAGTTCTCAGGGCTGGACAGACCTGGGAGACCCTGCAGCAAGCAGACCTCTCTGTCCCCACCTGTCCCCACCTGTACCCCAGGGCTTGGCCTCTGTGTTCTCCAACCGCACATCCCGGAAGTCAGCCTTACGTGCGGGGAACGACAGTGCCATGGCAGACGGCGAGGGATACCGGAACCCCACGGAGGTGCAGATGAGCCAGCTGGTGCTGCCCTGCCACACCAACCAACGTGGTGAGCTGAGCGTCGGGCAGCTGCTCAAGTGGATTGACACCACGGCTTGCCTGTCCGGTAAGGCTGCGCTCCCCATGGTTCCCTACCTGCCCCACAGGCCCAGAGCAGGGGCCGTGCTTTCAGAGATGGTCACCGTCCACCCTAAGTGCCACACTTGTTTCTCATCTTGGCCTTTGCTCATGCTGGTCCCTTTGTCTGAAATGCCCTTCCTGATGTCTCAATGCTCAGCACAGCCCACTTTTCTCTCACTCAGACCCCTTCAGCCCTGAGTGTTGGTCCCAGGCCCTAAGTCCCTGCCTCAACACAGTGCAGCCTTCCACATGGCTGCTTCAGATTGGCTTGGAGATGCTGTTGAGCAAAGCCCCTGACTGCCTGCCCTGCAGCGCTCCTTCCCTTGAGTTGAGGTGCGCTGGACTGAGCCCATTTCATTCCTTTTGTTGCACCGGTGTTCTCCAACCTACAGCGCTCACAGCCTGGTAGGGTGGGGATGGGGGATAGACAGGTGACCCGACTGTTCCCCAGCACTGTTTCAGAGGCCCTGACCCAGGCCTGGGGGCAGGGAAGGGATGCCTGAGGGGCTAAGGCACCTGAGTGGAGTCCTGAGGGTGAGTGAGAATGACTCAGGCAGGGAACAGGTGGTTGAAGGGACGGGGGCTCCAGAAGGCCGGGAAGCAGGCCAGTGTGGTGTGATCACTCATTCAACAGCTACTTACTGAGTGTGTACTATGTGCCAGGCACTGTTCCAGGACTGGGGTACAGCAATGAACAAGACAGGCAAAAATCCTTGTCCTCAAGTAATTTACAATCTAGTGGGAGGGAGAGACAGTAGACAGACGAAAAGCAGATATACAGAAGATGGTCGGGGTGGTGCCCACGGTGAGGGGTGTAAGGAATGGTGGCAGCAGGGTGTGGTGGGAGTTGTGGCCTTGGCTTGGGCGGCTGGAGAAGCCTCCTGAGGAGGTGCCATCTGAGCAGAGGCCTGTGATCGGGGGAGGCTGCTAATGTCTGGCTTTCTTCTGCTGACACCAGCGGAGAGGCACGCTGGCTGCCCCTGTGTCACAGCTTCCATGGATGACATCTATTTTGAGCACACCATTAGGTAAGTGGCCCCTCCTGCCTCAAGGTCCTCTGGGCTCCCTCCCATCAGCCTGGGGCCTGTCCTCCTGACTCCCTGCCTGGTCAGCGTCTGTGCTGCCTAGAGCCTGACTCAACTGACTGAAAATGAGGTGGGGGCAGCCTCTGGGGAAGTGTGAACCCCTCTGCAGTGTTTCTGGGGGCTAGGAGTTGACCTGCTGTTCTGTGCAGTGGGTGGGTGGGTGGGTGTTCCCTCAGCCAGGGTGTGGCCGAGATAGCATAGTGGGGTGCTGCGTGACTTTGGGGAAGTCAGTCTCTCTCTCTGAGCCTCAGTTTTCTCATCTGCAGAATGGATGGGGTTAGACTTAATCATTGAGTGCCTTTTTGAGCTTGGACATTCTCTTTGGGTCCTTGGTCATTGGGCTGTAGGGAGGCCCCCTAGACAAGGTGCCTTGGCAAAGTCGGAGCCAGAAGCTTGGGCCATTCAACCTCTGCTCACATCCTTCCAGGGATGAGGAGCTCGTTACCTCATTACTAAAGTAGACTTTTTTTTTTTTTTCTTTTTTTTTGGAGATGGAGTCTCCCTCTGTCACCCAGGCTGGAGTACAATGACACGATCTTGGTTCACTGCAATCTCTGCCTCCTGAGTTTAAGCAATTCTTGTGCCTCAGCCTCACGAGTAGCTGGGATTACAGGTGCCTGCTACAAGGCCCGGCTAATTTTTTTGTATTTTTAGTAGAGACGGGGTTTCGCCATGTTGGCCAGGCTGGTCTCGATCTCCTGATCTTAGGTGATCCACCTGCCCTCGCCTCCCAAAGTGCTGGGATTACGGGTGTGAGCCACCACACCTGGCCTTTTCTTTTCTTTTCTTTCTTTTAATGGCTGTACAGAATAGAAGAATATTCATCACACGCACTGGGCTTTGCCTCCCCATAGCTTTGCCCATAGATCCTGCTTCTGGGATCCAAGGAGCAGGCTGAGCCCTCAGCCCAGGACAGGCTGCAGGGCCACACACAGAGCTCTTGTCTCTGGGCCTGATCCTAAACTCACCAGCACTAGCTAGGACATCAAGTGCCAAGGGCTTATTCAGGACTCACTGGGTGCTCAGTGTGTCACCATTAAGGAAGAAGATTGGCCAGTCCCTGTACTCACTCATTCAGTCATCAGTCATTCCCTCACCACACACTTAATATTAGATGAGCACCTTTTCCAGACCAGAGGCCTTGCTGAGACTGGGCATGCAAAGTCCACTGGAGCACAGCCTCTTCCGCGGACCTCCCAGTCTTCAGGGGAGGCAGATGTAGGAACGTCATTCAATTCGCAGTGAGAAGTTCTGTGCAATAATGGGCTCTGGGCCAGGCATGGTAGCTCACGCCTGTAATCTCAGCACTTTGGGGGGCCTACGCGGGTGGATCACGAGGTCAGGAGTTCAAGACCAGCCTGGCCAACATGGTGAAACCCTGTCTCTACTGAAAATACAAAAAATTAGCCGGGCGTGGTGGGGAGCACCTGTAATCCCAGCTACTCGGGAGGCTGAGGCAGAGAATTGCTTGAACCCAGGAGGCAGAGGTTGTGGTGAGCTGAGGTCGCACCACTGCACTCCAGCCTGCCAACCTGGGCAAGAGAGCGAGCCTCCATCTCAAAAAAGAAAAAGGCTCTGGTTTGTAATCCTTTTTTTTTTTTTTTTTTTTTTTTTTGAGACAGAGTCTTGCTCTGTCACCCAGGCTGGAGTGCAATGATGTGATGATCTTGGCTCACTGCAACCTCCACCTCCTGGGTTCAAGTGATTCTCCTGCCTCAGCCTCTTGAGTAGCTGGGATTACAGGTGCGTGACACCACACCCAGCTAATTTTTGTATTTTTAGTAGAGACGGGGTTTCACCATGTTGGCCAAGCTGGTCTCGAACTCCTGGCCTCAAGTGATCTGCCTGCCTTGGCCTCCCAAAGTGCTGGGATTACAGGCGTGAGCCACCCTGCCCAGCTGCTTTGTAATACCTTTTATTTTAGAATAGTTTTAAATTTATAAAAACATTGTATCTCTAAAGATAGTACAAGGCCGGGCGCAGTGGCTTGTGTCCAATTCCAGAACTTTGGGAGGCCAAGGCAGGCAGATTACTTGAGCTCAGGAGTTTGAGACTAGCTGGGCAACATGGCAAAACCCTGTCTCTACCAAAAATTAGCTAGGCATGGTGATATACGCCTGTGGTCCCAGCTACTTGGGAGGCTGAGGTGGGAGGATCACTTGAGCCTGGGAGGTGGAGGTTGCAGTGAGCCAGGATTACACCACTGCACTCCAACCTGGGTGACACAGTGAGATCCCGTCTCAGGATAAATAAAAAAATAAAAATAAAGATAGTACAGAGAGTTCCCATATACCCCACACCCAGGTGCCCCATGATTAACATCTTACATTTGTAGGGTACCTTTGTCACAATTAGTGCACCAATACTGATACATTATTTTGATGCCTTTTTAATTACGTTAACTTATTTGATCCTCAAAACAATACTATGTGGTCATAGCTATTAGTATCCTTATTTTACAGATGAGGAAACTGAGGCACAGAGAAATGAAGTACCTTGTTGAAGGTGGTACAGCTAATGGAGGACCCAGGATATACTACCAGGCAGGCAATCTGGGCCCAGAGCCCTTGCTCTTAACCAATGGGCTGTATTTCCTGTATGTCTGGGGGTAGGTGTCGTGGCACTGAGGGTAGTCAAGGGGGGACTTCCTGGAGGACGCATTTGAGCTGCCAGTACTGTCAGCTCTGTGTATAGTGATACTTTGAAGCCAGTGGAGCTGTGTCTGGGCCAGCTCCAGGTCCCTGTAGCCAACACAAGTTCTTTTACTTAGGGGAGCAAGGAATAGAGAGGGTTAGGGGTACATGCATGATGGCTGGACCTGCTGCAGGGCTCAGCAGAGTGAAGGTGAATCTGGGCAGAGGAGGCTGTGGTTGGAAGGGAAAGCCAGAGAGGATGCCGGGAAGGAGGACAAGCTGGGGAGGGGCCTGGAGCATGGTTGGTGGCCAGGGAAGGCCTGGACACACCTGAGGAAAGATTAAGAAGTTTTTTTGTTTGTTTATTTCTGCTTTTGCCACTTAAGAATATTTCCAAATGTATCCCTAAGGGCTAATAACTCTTTTTATATTTATTTATTTATTTATTGAGATGATCTGTCTCCCAGGCCGGAGTGCAGTGGTGCAATTTTGGCTCACTGCAACCTCTGCCTCCCAGGTTCAAGCAATTCTCCTGTCTAAACCTCCCGAGTAGGTGGGATTACAGGTGCCGGCAACCAAGCTGGGCTAATTTTTGTATTTTTATTAGAGATGGGGTTTCACCATATTGATCAGGCTGGTCTTGAATTCCTGACCTCAGGTGATCTGCTTACCTTGGCCTCCCAAAGTGATGGGATTACAGGTGTGAGCCACCATGCCTGGCCCTTTTTTTTTTTTTTTTTTTTTAGAGAAGGATTCTTTTTAAACACAACATCATTACCACATCTAAAAAATTAACAATAATTTTTCACTAACGTCACTAGTCAGTGTTCAAATGCCCAAACTGTCTCATGAATTTGTTTTTATTTTGTTTGCTTTGCAGTTATTTATTTTTTCAAGATGGAGTCTTGCTCTGTTGCCCAGGCTGGGGTGCAGTGGCACCATCATAGCTCACTGCAGCCCTGAACTTATGGGCTCAAGCGATCCTTCCACCTTAGCCTCCCTAGTAGCTGGGACTACAGACATGTGGCACCATACCTGGCTAATTAAATTTTGTATTATTATTTTGTTTTTTTGTAGAGATGAGGTCTCGCTATGTTGACCAGGCTGGTCTCAAATTCCTAGCTTCAAGTGATCCTCCCACCTCTGCCTTCTAAAGCATTAAGATAACAAGCATGAGCCACCACACCCAGCCTGCAGTTATTTTGTTATTCAAGTCAGGATGCAAATAATTGTAATTGGTTGCTTCTCTATAGGGAGGCCGAGGTGGACAGATCATGAGATCATAAGATCCAGACCATCCTGGCTAACACGGTGAAACCCCGTCTCTACTAAAAATACAAAAAATTCGCCGGGCATGGTGGCAAGCGCCTGTAGTCCCAGCTACTCCGGAGGCTAAGGCAGGAGAATGGCATGAACCCAGGAGGCAGAGCTTGCAGTGAGCCGAGATAGTGCCATAGCACTCCAGCCTGGGCAATAGAGCGAGACTCTGTCTCAAAAAAAAAAAAACAAAAAAACCCAAAAACTCTGTAGATACCCACCAATCCTCCACCAGCTCTCTGGCACCGTCTCTCTCTCTCAAAATATATTTGTTGAGGAAAGCTGGCCATGTGCCCTCTAGAGTCCTTCATCACCTGGGTTTGCTATTTGAATTTCTGTGGTGCAATTAACATGTTCCTCTGTCTCCTGAGAGTAAATTGGTGTAGGGAAGGTCTCGATGGGGGTCAGATTTGTTCATGGGGGGTCGCTTGTCTGCGTTGTGAAGAACACCTGGAAGGGTGTCCGGGAGCTCCGGGGCCCTGAGGAGGCTGGGCAGTGGCCCTGGGGAAGGATCCGGTTTGGGCCAGAGCTGTGGGGACAGAGGGCAGTCAGGAAGGAGGAGGAGCTTAGAAACCCAGATGGGTGTCTGCTTGGCTTTGGGGGAAGGTAGAGAGAGAAGGAGGGAGAGGAGGAAAAATCACAAATTCCTCTCAGCACCACAGAAAATAGACTTTTATTTTTATCTGGGGGACCACAGAAGTTTTTTGCCGTAATTTTTGATCATGAAAACTTTCAAACATATAGAAAAGTTGAATAGTACAATGGTCACCACCACTGAGACCCAATAATTAACATTTTTCTAAATTTGCTGTATCTATGTATGGACAAATAAATAAATACATATACTTTTTTTCTTGTTAAGAGACAAAGTCTCACTCCGTCACCCAGCCTGGGATGCAGTGGTGCGATCTTGGCTCACGGCAACCTCCGCCTCCTGGGTTCAAGCGGTTCTTGTGACTCAGCCTCCCAAGTAGCTGGAATTATAGGTGTGCCCTACCATGCTCAGCTTATTTATTTATTTATTGTATTTTTAGTAGAGTTTCACCATGTTGGCCAGGCTGGTCTCGAACATATGAGCTCAGGTGATCTGCCTGCCTTGGCCTCCCTAAATGCTGGGATTACAGACATAATATATACACTTTCTCTCTCTCTCTCTGCTAAACGATTTGAAAGTGAGTTGCAGACATCGTGATGCTTCATCCGTCACTATGTCAGCATGAATCTCCTAAAAATGACCCTCCCCTCCGTGACCATTAGTATTACTAAAAAAATGAACAGGAATCAACAAATGTCTGGCAAATGTGAGCTTGTGGTATTTATTGAGCTCCGGCTGTGGGCCAGGCCTGGCGCTTGGCTCAGTCCCATTCTCTCTCACTTGACCCTCAGAACCACAGGCAGTACTTTACACAGAAGGAAATGGACTCAGAGAGGCAAAGTGACTCACCCAAGGTCACACAGCTCTGTAGTGTGATGGTTAAGGTGGAGCTTGACTGGAACCCAGGCCTGTGTGGCCATTCCCACTGTGTTCACGGTGGCCCCTTGACCAGCAGGCCCCTTGGAATGGACCCTTCCTAGGCTTGGCCAGAAGACTGTGTCATTTGAGAAAGAAGTTGGCATGGCACTCTCCATGTTCATGAGCCAAGGCCCAGAGAAGTGAAAGGACCTGCTGGAGATCACACAGCAATTGAACAGGGCCGGCCTTTAGCCTCCTGCCCCTCCTCCCCACAGTCCATCAGCTGGGCACCCTCTGCCCCCTCCATTAGGCACAGCCCAGGCTAGGTGGCTCCCCTGGGGATTCATATGGATGTGGGAATCATTCCAGGAGGACAGGCTGCAGCTGGGAAAAGAGGGGCTGGTGCAGTCAACAGAGTCAGTCTAGAAGTCTGGCTCTGCCACTTTTTAGCTTGGTGACCTTGGGCAAATGACTTAACCTCTCTGATGCTCAGTTTCTCCTAAACCTACCTGCCAAGCTTATTCTGAGGTTCCAATGGCAGTGCACAGTGCCTGGCACCTAGCAGGCATTCTTTAAACATTTCCTTTTCTCATCTTGCCCTTTGTTTATAGCATCTTGCCCTTACCAGGCATTCAATACATGTAGAATGCATTAATTCAGTCAGCTACCCTTTATGGGAGACCCACCCTGTGCCATGTGCTAGGCCTTGGAGAGTCAATGGGGAGCAAAACCATGACCCTTACCCTAGTAGAGCTTAAGAACTGTGGGAGACAGAGGTCACTCTGCCAGGAGAGTGCCGCAGGGTGAGCCTCTGCAGGGCCTCTGTTGGTGGGTGGGCCACTGCAGGGCAGCGAGGGGTCCCCTGAGGAGGGGACCATTGAGCCGAGAGCAAAAAGAAGCACAGGCATTAATTGGACAACGGGGATCAGGGAACGGGGGAGCAGATGAGTGCAATCATGCTACTTCTCTCAGCCTCAGCTTAACCATCTGTAAAGTGGGGTGCTGACACTATCTTGCTAGCTGGCTTTGAGGACTTGGTGGTATCGCAGATGTGAATATGCCCTGCAAGCCATGAAGTTATCCTGCCAGCTCCCCGCAAGAGAGGCTCTGCAAGTATCTGAGGCCCCTGTTCCTCCCTCTGGCCCCTCTGGAAGGCTCACCTCCTACTTTCCTCTCCCCAGTGTTGGACAAGTGGTGAATATCAAGGCCAAGGTGAACCGGGCCTTCAACTCCAGCATGGAGGTGTGTGGGGTGGGCACTGCTTGGGAGTGGGTGCGTGGGTGGGTCCTCTACCTCCTCTCTCCATTCTTCTCCCTGCAGCCCAGGGCCACTCACACTTGCAGGGCCCTGATTAGAGCAGCAGAGTTCTGTAATGGTTGGCAGAGCAAGGGGAATCCCAAGGATCTTCCTGTCCCAAATCCCAGAACACAGACAGGAAAATCGAGGCCCAGGAGGGGAAGGGACTTGCCCCAGGTCACTGAGCTACATAGATTCCAGTGTGGGACTTGACTTCCAGGCCCCTGAGTCTCACATCCAGCCTCAGCAGCCAGGTTTTTGTGGGAATGGAGGGAAGGCAGCATGAGCGCCTGATCTTGGAGGAGGAGCTGGGGCAGGGAGAGTGCTGGGTTTCCAGCCCATGAGCTTGCCTCCCACAGCCCGTCTCCTCATCTGCAAAAGGGAACATGATTCCTCTGTGGCAGGGTTGGAGGACTGCTGGTGATGCCCAGGGTTCTGTGAGCTGTGGGGGAGGGCTCTATTTCCCACCTATGGACTTCAGGCCCAGGCAACTTCACCAGCTGGGCCAGTGGTTCCTGAGGGAGCACTGAGGCTGGGTGACATAGCCCTGACTATGCCTCTGGGCACCCCATGAATGCTCAGGTACCCCCAGGTGCCTGTTCTTGATTTTTTATTTTATTTTTATTATTGTTTTGAGATGAGGTCTTACTCTGTCACCCAAGCTGGAGTGCAGTGGTGCCATCATAGCTCACTGTAACCTCAAACTCCTGGGCTTTAGCAATATTCCTGCCTCAGCCTCCTGAGTAGCTGGGACTACAGGCATGTGCCACCACACAGCTAATTTTTGTGTGTGTGTGGTTTTTTTTTTTTTTTTTTTTTGCAGAGACAGGGGTCTCACTGTGTTGCCCTGGCTTGTTTTGAACTCCTGGCCTCAAGTGATCCTCCCGCTGCAGCCTCCCAAAATTCTAGAATTACAGGCCATTGAGCCTGGCCTATCCTTTAAATTTAGCCAACATTCTGCCTGTATGAAGCCCTGTTGTAGACATAGTCTCATTTTAATCCTCTCAACAATCCCACAAGGGTAGGTCTGATCACTCCCACTTTGTAGATGAGGAAACTGAGACCCAGAGAAGGGAAGTGACTTGCCCAAGGTTTCCCGGGGACCCAAGGGCAGAGTCAAACCCCCCCTCAGATCTCTGGCCTCCCAGACCTGGTAGGTGGTGCAGAAACTCTGGAGGCCTGGCCTGGGCTGGGACTTGCTGTCTGGTGGAGCTGCGGGGCTTCTAACTGGTGAGTGCAATGTTGTTCCTCATTCCTTCGCCCTTACTGTTCCTCTCCAGGTGGGCATCCAGGTGGCCTCGGAGGACCTGTGCTCTGAGAAGCAGTGGAATGTGTGCAAGGCCTTGGCCACCTTCGTGGCCCGCCGAGAGATCACCAAGGTAACTGGGTGCGCCTGGCTGCTGGAACGCTGCTCAGTGACCTGGGCACCTGCCATGGCGAGTCTGGCTCAGGGGAATGAGGTTAGGGGTTGGCAGAGGGGATGGGGAGGGACACAGCAGGAATCCACAGCTCCCTGAGGAAGGCCCACCCCTCATTGCATTGGAATCCCCCAGCCCCCTCTCCCCTCCTTTCCCCACCTCTCCCTGTGCTTCTCCAGCGAAGATTCTTCTGGTCTCACCATTCTGGTCTCACCATTCTGTCACCTACAGTGACACCCCCCATCCTCTGAGCCTTTGGCCAAGGAAGGGACCTGGGTGGGAGCTGGAGGATGAATATGTATCAGGTCATCGTGGAGGCAGGAAGATGGGGCAAAGAGGGAGGAAGCCTTGGAACTGAGCAGCAGCCCACGCCTGCTGTGTGCTAGCCTCGGGCATGGCATGGTGCTGGGGACAGGCCCTTGTGCTATTTCAGGAGACTTGCCCTGAGTGTCCCCCACCCTGTCCCCTGGCCGACAGGTGAAGCTGAAGCAGATCACGCCGCGGACAGAAGAGGAGAAGATGGAGCACAGTGTGGCGGCTGAGCGCCGGCGCATGCGCCTTGTCTATGCAGACACCATCAAGGACCTCCTGGCCAACTGCGCCATTCAGGGCGGTGAGCAGCTGCCAGCTGTGCATGGGGAGGGTAGCTGGCGTCCTGCATGGCCCCTCTGCCCCGGGCTCCCACTGGGCAGAGGCAGGAAGGGAGGCTCCGGGGACTTCCACCCACTGGTGGCCCTGGGCCTCTCCTAGCCCTCTTGGCTCCGAGGTCTCCTCCAGGGAAGGGGAGTGTTTGGGCCTCTCTACCAGCTCCCAGGAACCATGAAGCTGCCGTTAGGTCATGTGGAAATCCCTTTGTTGGCCACAAAACGCATTTGGGTCTCCAGAAGCCAAGGTGTTTGGGAAGATAGTATTGAGCTATAACTTGAAGACTGTAGAATTTTTTAAAAAGCATATATATATGTATGCATCTATAAAAAGCATATATAGGCCGGGCGTGGTGGCTCATGCTTGTAATCCCAGCACTTTGGGAGGCCGAGGCGGGTGGATCACCTGAGGCCAGGAGTTCAAGACCAGCCTGGCCAACATGGTGAAACCCCATCTCTACTAAAAATACAAAATTAGCTGGGTGTAGTGGCGTGCACCTGTAATCCTAGCTACTCTGGGGGCTGAAGCAGGAGAATCGCTTGGACCTGGGAGGCGGAGATTGCAGTGAGCCGAGATCACACCATTGCACTCCAGCCTAGGCAAAAAGAGTGAAACTCCATTTCAAAATAAATAAATAAGTATATAGCATATATAAAACATGTAAAAAGCATATATATATGCTTATGTGTATGTGTGTGTATATATGCGTACACTCACACACACGTATATATATTCTCACCCCTCAAAAGATAAAATAAAAAGCAAGACTCCTTTCTATCCCAGAATCCAGGTCGTCTCCCCAGAAGCATCTACTATTACCCATTTTAGGGTATCTTTCCAGAAGTATTCCCTGTATATCTAAGCATAGCATGTATTATTTAGCTCCTGAAAAGGGGCATTCAGTACATACTGTTTTGTATCTTGCAGTTTCCCCTTAAAAATATATCCTGGGGGTTGTTCTATACCAGTACAGAAAGATCTACTTTGGACTGGGTGGGATTTTGACAGATGGGAGATAAGGAAGGGTTTCTGACAGAGGGCACAGCCTGGGCAAAGGCCTAGAAGGGAGACCTTGGACTTGTTTACTTATCCCCAGAATGTTCAAATTTGAGTCTTCCTTGAAACCAAAAGGAGGCGATCTTAGAAGAAAATCTCCCCGGAGTGGGGAGAGAGCAGGCAGAACTCGCCAAGCCCAGAGGAAGCCTCAAGCTATGCCCTGAGTTCCATGTGCCCTGGTTCTACTGGGCTTGGAGGCCGGAGCTGGGGAGGCCCAGCTCTTCCTACAGTCATCAAGGCCCCTTTGATCCATCCATCCCCTTGCAGCCCTCCTAAATCTCTTCTGTCCTAACAGCGCTCCCACCTAAGAATCAGCTCAAGTGCCTTTGCCTGGCACTGGGCCTTCTGGCTGGCCACTCAGCTTCACTGGGTACTGTCTCTTGACCTGCTGCAGCTCCTGTTAAGCCACAGGCCCCATTGCCCTGTGAATACCCTCCCCGTCCTGTCTCCAGACCTTGGCTCAGGCCACCCTCAACTTCCCCTCCTGTCTGCCCCCACCCTGTCTGTGGTCTCTCTGAGAGCCTGCAAGCCAAGCCAAGGGCAATGCCAGCTCTTTGATGGACCCTCCCTGAAGAAGTCTCTCCATGGGAGATAGGAGACAAATGACACCACCTTGGGTTTGGTGGGGCATGCCAGCATCTGCTGCCCTGAAGCCCAGGACCCCATGCACTGCCTGGCCTCTCCTACTAAGGATATTCTAACACTGTTGCTGCCAAGGATAAGGGAATCACCAGGGCAGAAGGCAGGGAAAAACCATCCTTTTTGAGAGCATATTTACTGGAGTCAAGTACTTTGTGATTATTATTTTTTTTGAGACAGAGTCTCACTCTGTTGCCCAGGCTGGAGTATAGTGGCGTGATCTCGGCTCACTGCAACCTCTGCCTCCCAGGTTCAAGTGATTCTCGTGGCTCAGCCTCCTGAGTAGCTGGGATTACAGGCACTCGCCACCATGCCCAGCTAACTTTTTTGTATTTTAGTAGAGACAAAGTTTCACCATGTTGGCCAGGCTGGTCTTGAACTCCTGGCCTCAAGGGATCTACCCTCCTTGGCCTCCCAAAGTGCTGAGATTACAGGCATGAGCCATTATGTCTGGCCTTGAGTCAAGCACTTTGTGACAATAATCACATTTCATCTTCAAACAGTCCTATCGGGTCGGATTTCATGCCTGCCTTTACAGATGAGGCAACCGAGGCTCAGAGGGATTACTTGATTTGCCCAAGGCCATACAGGCAGTCTGGAGTGGAGCTGAGGCTCAGACCTGCTGTCTTGTCTCAGAGCTGGTGCTGCATCCACTGCACTGGACAGGCTCATCCCTCTCATCCAGGGCCACCCTCTGCCTCATGTGCACTCTGTGCTGAGTAAATAAAAGAACCTGAGTGGGGTAGAGTGGTGGGGGTCCCAGGGCTGCCTGTGGGGAGGGGCTGCCCTTGGGAATGTTCTCACCTCCCTGCTTCCCTCCCTTATCCCATCCCTGGTCAGATCTGGAGAGCAGAGACTGTAGCCGCATGGTGCCGGCTGAGAAGACCCGTGTGGAGAGTGTGGAGCTGGTCCTGCCTCCCCACGCCAATCACCAGGGCAACACCTTTGGGGGCCAGATCATGGCCTGGATGGAGAATGTGGCCACCATTGCAGCCAGGTGAGGGCAGGGTGTGCTGCCTCTGCCTCCCCTCCTTTCTCCTCCTCCTCCCCTTGGCTACCTCCCTCTGGAGGGGAAACCCCAGCTTGGGGTTGGCATTCAAGGCTTCAGAAGCTTGGCTGTTCTGAATCAGAGAAATGAATTTTTGTGAACTGACCATTCCTTGTTCTACTAAAAAAGCTAGCATCTTTTACATGGGAAACACCAGGTCTCTTGGCCTGGCACTAGATCCTCCCCTTGATCTGGCCCTACCTGCACTCCTTCTAGTATCTATGTTCCCTTCACATCAAGCCTTCTAGTATCTATGTTCGCTTCACATCAAACCATTTGCTGTTCTCTGTTCCCATCCTCCACTTTCCCAGCCCCTGCCTTTGCTCCTGATGTAGCCTCCTGCCGTGCTTCCCCTACTCTTCTTTGTCTGCTAATATCCTGCCCACTTCCTCCATAAAGCCATCTCTGACTGTTCCCTTCTTCTAAGGGGTGAAAATTGTTTTCTCTCCTCTAACATCTGTTTCTGTCCGGGGCTTGTTCTACCCTAAATATCAGGGTATTTTTTATAGTTATGGTAACTGACCTTCACTAATTGACACTCTCACACCTCCAAGACTTTGCTCTTGCTGTTCCCTCTACCAGGAGTGCCTTTCCCAACCCATGCCCTTTCCAGCCAGGTGGATTCCTCCTTATTCTTTAGAGCCTGGCTTAAATGGCCCCTCCTCCAGTTTAACCTGTGGGAGACAGTGCATAAGCAATGCTGTTTTGGGCAGGCCTGGCTATGAGTGCAGTAAGATCCTGGAGGAGCCTGATGGTCAGGGAAGGCTGCCTGAAGGAAGAGCACTTCAGCTGGGACTTGAATGCCAAGTAGCTTTGGGTAAGGGGAGGGCTTCTGGATAGTGGGAACAGCAGCTACCAAGGTGTAAAAGTTGGAAGGAAAATGGGAAAGGGGTTTACCCAAAGCCCTGCTTTCTTCTGTCCCCTCAAACTTGGCTTCTTTCCAGCCATGCATAGACCTCAGTATTCTAAACTATGAAATGGGACTTTAGTTCTGTGCCTCTGGGCAGAACTGCCACTGGGTTGGGTGGCAGTGGGTGGGTCAGAATGTGTAGTTCCAGGCTGCGTCTGGGGATGGGACCAGGGTAGAAGGCTGGCCCAAGCTGGCCTAGCATGGTGGCTCACACCTGTAATCCCAGCGCTTTGGGAGGCTGAGGCCACTTAGGCCAGAAGTTCAAGACCAGCCTGGGAACAAGGTAAAACCTCATCTCTACTAAAAATACAAAAATTAGCCAGGTGTGGTGGTGCGTGCCTGTAGTCTCAGCTACTTGGGAGGCTGAGGCAGGAGAGTCACTTGAACCCGGGAGGCGGAGGTTGCAGTGAGCCGAGATTGCACCACTGCATTCCAGCCTGGGCAACAGAGTGAAACCCTGTCTCAAAAAAAAAAAAAAAAAAGAGAGGCCAGGTGTGGTGGCTCATGCCTGTAATCCCAGCACTTTGGGAGGCCGAGGGGGGTGGATCACCTGAGGTCAGGAGTTTGCAACCATGCTGGCCAACATGGTGAAACCCTGTCTCTACTAAAAATACAAAAAATTAGCTGGGCATGGTGGCGGACACCTGTAATCCCAGCTACTCAGGAGGCTGAGGCAGGAGAATTGCTTGAACCCAGGAGGCAGAAGTTACAGTGAGCCGAGATCCTGCCATTGCACTCCAGCCTGGGCAACAAGAGTGAAACTCTGTCTCAAAAAAAAAAAAAAAAAAAAAAAAAAAAAAAAAAAATATATATATATATATATATATATATATATATATATATATATAAAAATCTGGCCCAAACTAGTGGCTGAAGCACCAGGGGCATTCCTTCTGTCTCCCCACCCCTGCCTCCTCAGCCGGCTCTGCCGTGCCCACCCTACGCTGAAGGCCATTGAAATGTTCCACTTCCGAGGCCCGTCCCAGGTCGGCGACCGTCTGGTGCTCAAAGCCATCGTGAACAATGCCTTCAAACATAGGTGAGGGTCTGGGATGGGTGCGGCCACGTCCATTCAGGGCTGAGGGCTCTTCCTGACCCTAGAAAGGACCCTACTTCAAACTGTCCAGGAGCCCTTTGCCCTGCAGACAGGGTCTAAATCCCTGCCTGGCTGATGGGTTCCTCTGAAATTCAGCTCTGATTTTCCCTTCTTGGGAGCCTTCCCTGGCTCCCAGTCCTGCCCACCCCTGGCTGGGTCAGGGACCCCTCCTCTGGGATCCCCCAGCCCCTGTCTCCCGCTGTCTCAGATCAGTGTCTCTGTCTCCCTCCTTGGCTCCTGGCTCCATGCCTGGACCGCTGTAGATGCTCAGATCACAGGGCCACTTCTTGCCAGTGTTTGGTTATTTATCAAACCCTTTCCCACACATTTCCTAAAATAATTAGTCCACAGAGTCTTTGCCTTTGCAATGAATTCTGAAACCTACTCCCATGAAAGCTGACTTTAAATAAGTAAATTTTTTGAGAATTTCAGAGGTCATTATTTAATTATTAAAAGTGAGGGATCAGGAGCCAGGCTGCCGGATTCGAGTTTGGCTCCACCTCTTACTGGCTCTGTGACCTTAGAAGTAACTTAACCCCTCTGAGTGTCAGTTCTTTCACCTATAAAATGGGGCTCATCACAACTACCTCAGAGTTATGAGGATTCAATGAGCCGTTACTAGTAGAACGCCAGAGAAAATGTCCGGTAAAGGTCAGCCATTGTGGCTGCTCTTACTATTATTGTTGTTATTTGCAGTCTGACTTGCACACGTTCTGCCACGGTGCAGGGGAAAAGCCCTTTTGTAGGAGCTGTGAAGCCTGGATTTTAGTCCAGATTCCAGGAATCTGGAATCCTTGGAAAAATCATTGCCCAGTTCTAGGCCTTGGTTTCCCCATCTATATAATGTCCACACTCTGCAATCATAGAACTTCCAAAGTGAGGGGGAATGGTGGTGGCTGCTATTTTATAATTAATAAGGATGGTAAGTGGCTGAGCGCAGTGGCTCACGCCTGTAATCCCAGCACTTTGGGAGGCCGAGGCAGGAAGATCACTTACGGCTCGGAGTTCAAGACTATCCTGGCCAACATGGCGAAACCCCGTCTCTATTAAATAAACAAAAAATGAGCCAGGCATGGTGCACACACCTGTAATCCCAGCTACTCAGGAGGCTGAGGCACGAGAATCCCTTGAATCCAAGAGGCGGAGGTTGCAGTGAGCCAAGATTGTACCACTGTACTCCAGCCTGGGCGACAGAATGAGACTGTCTCAAAAAATAAATAAAGGAATAAAGAAATAAAGACAGTAAGATACATGAATAGCAGCAACTGAGCTGTTTGAAGCAAGGCTGCCACAGCACTTGTAAATATGCACATAATGAACATTTTCTAATTAGGCCGTCCACCTCCACCTCCTGGTTTATGTCCTTACATCCCTTTGCAGTTTTTGATGGCATATTTATACCTTTGCTTTCTTGTTGGTTGCCTCCTCCCCTGACTGTTAGCCCATGAGGCATAGACTGGACAGGTTTATTCACTCTCGCATCCTCACAGGGCCGGACACACACAAGAGGTGCTCTGTAAACAATGGTGGAGGGAGCGGTCCCAGGTGTCCTGTCACTGGGACTCTGATCCACGTTGCTGGAAGAACTGCAGGAGTGTATGTGAGTGTGTGTGTGCATACATGTGTGTGTATGTGTGTGCATACATGTGTGTGTATGTGTGTGCATACGTGTGTGTGTGTGCATGCATGTGTGTGGGCGCATGTGTGCATGTGTGTGTGTGAGTGTGTGTGTTGGGGAGGAGGCATGGCCCTTGGGAAGGTCTGTCCAGGTTGGAAGCCACACTCCCTCCCCTCAGCATGGAGGTGGGCGTGTGCGTGGAGGCCTATCGCCAGGAGGCTGAGACCCACCGGCGCCACATCAACAGTGCCTTTATGACCTTTGTGGTCCTGGACGCAGATGACCAGCCCCAGTTGCTGCCCTGGATTCGGCCCCAGCCCGGCGTAAGTGGGACCAGCGCCCTGCCCCACCAGCAGCTCCCCTCCCCTCCCTCTCTGCCCTGGCATGGTGGAGACTGCCAGCCCCCTACAGACCTAGAGGCGTGAGGGGCCCACCCTACCCCCGTGCTGGGGCACAGCCAGCTGAGTGTCCTGGCTGTGAGCCCTGGGATGCCCCTTGTGCAGGGCGGGCTTGTTCTGCCTGACAGAACTCGGAGTATGTGTGGGTCTGGCTCGGAGTTGGGGGTTAATGGGCTGTCATGAGCCTGCAGGGTTGGAAGAGTACTGGCTTTGGAGTCAGATGTGGGTTGGAACCTCGCCTCTACTACATTCAAGTGATGCCCCCTCGAGCTTTCAGTCTCCATTTGTAAAATGGGTGTATCTGCAGTCCCTACCTCACAGGACTGTGGGGCGATAGATGCAGTACTGACTCCATGCCTGGCTGCGCCCTGGGAGCGGTCAGGAGGATGGTGAAAGCAACGCAAGGGGCACGGGAAGACAGTCAGGAGCCTGGTGCAAGGTCCTCTCTTACAAAATGCTCCCTGTGCCTCCTGTGGGCCAGGCCTTGGAGAGGCCGCTCCCTCCCTTGGGGGAGGTCCCCTGGCCTTCCTGCTGGCCTTCCAGAGGGTAGCGTGGGCTGTGGAGTTGGGTGGAGCCTCGGGACTGGGAGCTGGGGGTCACAGCCATAGCCGCTTCCCAGGCATTTTCCTTGTACTTGGGGCTGGAGGACGTTAGATGTGGCGGTAAAGAGGGTGGGCTTGAGGCAGGCCATTGGGGTGCTGATCCTGGCCTCGGCCCTTACCCCTGTGGCCTTGGCAAGCCCTCACCCTTCCTTGTCTCAGGTTCCTCCTCTGTAGAATGGATACAGCACCAGCCCCAGCCTCAGAGGGTTGTTGTAAGGATTTGGTGCAATTCCACATGGAAAGCCCTTGAGAAGAGTGGCTGGTGTGTAGTGAGTGCTCAGTAAATGTGGACTCTCATTACCATTGTGAGTGGCCTGTAAGGATCCCCATTTTACAGAGGAGGAAACTGAGGTCTGGCCAGGGGAGGTGGTGTTCCCAGGTCACTCAGAGAGTTTGAGGGGAGCTGGGGCTACAGCTTAGTTTCCCACTTTGCTGGCCAGGATGTTTTGATTCCAGCTGCCCCAGCGACACCTGAACTCCACGTTAGGGCTGCAGGAACTCCTTGGGCCCTGGGGGATGGAGAGGGGGCAGGACGGAGGGTGGGGGTAGCTGGTTGCCTATCCCGACTTCCTCCCCAGGATGGTGAGCGGCGGTACCGAGAGGCCAGTGCCAGAAAGAAGATCCGCCTGGACAGGTGAGTAGGGGCTGAGTGGTGGGCAGAATGTGGATTCGGGGCTGTTCACGCTCCGCTGACCCCAGGGCACTCGCTTTTCTTCAGAGCTGCCTGTGCGTTGGGCCCTGGGCCGGGCCCTTTACATCCTCTCGTTTTGGTCTTATTACACAGCGGTCTTCTGGCCTGTTGTACACACGAGGACGCTGGGGACAGAGGGGTTAGGTGGCTTGCCCAGGGACACACAAATATCATCAGCAGAGTCAGAATTTGAAGCTGGCTGAGTCCAGCCGATTTTAAATCCTGTGTTCTTGCCATTGATTCTGATGCCCATTTGGCAGATGAAGAAACGTTCAGAGAGGAGATGCAGTTGTTCAAGAGGTAAAGCCACTTTGGGAGGCCGAGGCAGGCAGATCCCCTGAGTTCAGGAGTTTGAGACTAGCCTGGCCAACATGGCAAAACCCCGTCTCTACTAAAAATACAAAAATTAGCTGGGCGTGGTGGCTCTCGCCTGTAGTCCCAGTGCACCTATAGTCAGGAGGCTGAGGCTGAGGCAAGAGAATCGCTTGAACCGGGAGTTGCAGGTTGTAGCAAGCCGAGATTGTGCCATTGCACTCCAGCCTGGGCAACAGAGCAAGACTCTGTCTCAAAATAAATAAATAAATAAAAATGAAGCCAGGTGTGTCTGACTCTGCTGTGAAAGCATTTATGGACTTTAGAGGCTGTAAGCACAGCAGGGATCACAAGCTGTTGTTAGTAAGAAAGTGTGCATCTATGGCATTTACTGAGCATTTACCGTGTGCCAAGCACTGTTATTGTGATGTCCCCATGAGGCAGGGGTGACTGCTGATCCCATTTCACAGATGAGGACACAGCAGCACCAGGGTGAGGTCACTCAGCAGGGGTATGGGGTGTGGGAATCGAGCCTTAGACGCCATACCCTTCCTTGCTGGCTCGCTCCCACCTCTGAGCTTTCCCTGGTGTAGGGGCCGAGCTGGTGTGCCCTCAGCTGCTGTGTCCTGTGTGACCATCCAGCCTCCCTACCCAGACAGGAGTCTCCCATTCTGCCGGGCTCAGCACAGGGCCTAGCACAGAGTAGGCCTGCAGTAGAGTCTGTGGAAAGTGCTGAACTTCCAGGGGACCAAGGTTGTCATCTTCTCTCCTTCCCAGGAAGTACATCGTGTCCTGTAAGCAGACAGAGGTGCCCCTCTCCGTCCCCTGGGACCCTAGCAACCAGGTAAGGCTCTCTGCTCCGAGAGGACAGTCTTCAGACCCACCGGGCCCCCACCCTTCCCTGCTTGTCAGAACGGGTTTGGAGGAAGGCCGGGGAGAGCAGGATATGAATGACACGCCTCATGATTGCTACCATTAGCAAAGAGCTGGCCTGCGTCCCTGTTTGGTAGGTGGAAGCGGAGACCCTGAGAGGCAGAGTAGCTTGTCTAGGGTCACACAGTGGGTCTAGCCAAGCCCAAGCCTGGACCTCCCTTCTCAACGCCCAGGACTCTTTCCACAGCACCTGCCGCACCACCCACCCACCGCCCAACCCATTCCTGGCCCAGGTTCCTCTCTGGCACACCCTTGGCCTTGGCTCAGGGGCCCTGAAGGAAGGGGGTGGGGTAGTGGTAGCACCTGTGTACTCTTTCAGGTGTACCTGAGCTACAATAACGTCTCCTCCTTGAAGATGCTTGTGGCCAAGGACAACTGGGTGCTGTCCTCGGAGATCAGTCAGGTAGCTGACCCCACCCACCCAATTTTCCTTTCTCATCTGAGCCAGAGGTGGCTAATGGCAAGCAACAAGAACTCTCCCACACCACTTATGTCAAAAAAAGATCTCTTCAAAGAATTGGGTGAGATCAAGAAACCAGTCCAGTTATGGAAACGTACCCACCCCTGCAGGGCCTGGAGTCGAGAACCCCTAGATTCTTCTCTCCTGCCTGCCCCCCTTCCTGTTCTCAACCACTCAGGTCTGCTGCTGTCTGACCAGGCACTTCCTCCCTCTCTGTTCTTCTGCAGTGATCACTGCAGGGATCGGGGCAGCCAGCAGGCACGCGCTTACAGGAGACCTAAGCTCTGCCAGCTGCCTGTTCCCCTAGACAAGCCACTTCCTGCCTGTGCCACTGGGGCTTGGATGGGCACCTGGCTGACAGGAACCACCACATGTTGCCTTAGTCACTGTTGTCTTAAGCCACCTTCCTGTCCATTTGTGCTGAATTCATAATTCGTGGGGATGCAGCTGAGACTCAGAGAGGTTGAGCTGCGTGTTCACATTCACACAGCAAGTCAGCTGTAGCCCTGAGCTTCCAGTCTCAGCCTCCAGCATCCCCATCAGTCCACTCCACCACCCAGCAAATGAGGCTGCCCTCTATCCCATGCAGGTCCGCCTGTACACTCTGGAGGATGACAAGTTCCTCTCCTTCCACATGGAGATGGTGGTGCATGTGGATGCAGCCCAGGCCTTCCTGCTGCTCTCGGACCTGCGTCAGAGGCCAGAGTGGGACAAGCACTACCGGTGAGGGGCCAGGGTGAGGGCAGGGCAGTGTCCCTTCTCCGGCCTGATGAGGGAGAGAGTGTCTCCTTCTGCGGGTCATCCTCCATGATGCTCTGCCCTGCTGGGGCTGGGGGTGGGTTGGAGTTCCATGCTGGGTGGGGGTTCAGGGTCATGGGTATTTTGAGCCCTTAGGGAAGAGACTGAGCACGGAATTAGAGCTGGAGGCTTGAGTTGAAGTCCTGCTTCTGTCCCAACCAGCTGTGTGACATTGGATAAGTCAAAGTCACTTCCTTTCTGGCCTCAGTTTCTCTCTTCTTAAAATGGATGCTTGGATGGCGGGTCATGGATTCACACTCAGAGATACTGATTTTCAAACCATGTGCTGTGGAGTTCTGTGTTCCCAAAGGGGCTTCCGGAACTGCTGGGGGTGGAGTTGGAAGGATGAAGGGTGATCGGGACATAGCATGGCCAGTTTGTTGAACTTACCAAGTTTGCTGATTTTCCTCACAAATATATTATTTTTGAATATAATGAATGATTATGAATAGAAATATGTTATTCCTTTACATACATTTGTTCCTCCAAATTTATTGATTGTTCACATGACTATCTTCTTCTCGAATTTAGTCAAGGAAGATAAATATGTTCTTAGGAAAATAGCAAAATTTGTGTTTTTCAAGTCCCCTTAAAGTCATTTTCTGTTCTGCCATCACCGGGGCTCGAGGGGGTTCTTTGATAATTGCTTGTTATGAGGAGCCTACATTCTGGAGAATTTCCGTAAGGAGGTTCTGTGTGTTTGGAAATTCAGTCCGCTGGTCACTTGGTGAATTGTATTTTGACAAACTGGCTTTCCCCTTCCCACCCCATCTATTTTCTCCAGAGCAGGCTTGTAGCTCTTTATACATGGGCTTCCTGCTGAAGGTGTCTTTGCAAAAAGGGCCATGTTGCCTTAAAAAGCCCTGGCCCAGCTGACTCAGGCCTGCTGGTTGTCCCCTTCCAGAAGGCAGAGAGGTGATTTGGTGGTGGATGTCGTGTAGGGGGAGGGCGGTTGTGCATGTGGTAGGTGGGCTTCTTGGAGGGAGGCTGGGGTGGGCCTTGAAGGCCAGACCAAATCTTGATACTTGATGGGATTTGTGGGGGAGTGGCCTGAGGGGAAAGAGAGCCCCTAGTTTCTTCCCCATACCCTGCCTACTGCTGAGTGCAGGCAGGGGAGTGGGGAGGAGGAGGTGGGTCTGGACATGGCCATGCCTGCCTCTGTGTGGGTGTCCTTGTGTGGGTGCACGTGTTGGTATGAACCTGTGTATGCCCATGCATGTATGTGTCAGGTGCCTGGGCCTGGGGATACATCTCTGCCACCTGATAGCCTGGACACACCCCAGCCCTGCTTCCTTATTAGCTCTGTGGCCGTGGGCAGGTTATCTTCCTCATCTATGAGATAGGAATACTAAAAGCGTCTACAGCATGGGGCTGTTATGGAGATTAAGTGACACATGTAAAGCATTTAGAACAGCACCTGGCACTCAGTGGGCGCTCAGTAAATATTAAGAACAACTGCTAAATCATCACACATCCTTGTGGTGTCTGCACCTGCGCAGACATGTATAGACACACGTGGGTCTCTGTGTACACTGATGTCTGTCCATGTGCCTGTGCACATATGACCACATGTGTGCATGTATGTGCACATCTTTGTTCCCATGTCTGTGTGTATGTGTTCATTTACTTGCATGCATGTCTACATGTGCCTGTGTGTGCACACGCACATGTGTGTCCATCTTGGCTGGGCTTTGCTGCCTTCCTGCTGGCCCTTGCTGAGCAGTACAGGGGGTGACATCCCATCACAGAAGCTGCTCAGGCACTGCAGTGTGGCAGGGCCCGGGCAGACCCGCTGCTTGCATGGGAGCTGGAAGCTTCCTGGGGCACTGAGATCCCGGCCTCCCCACAGGAGCGTGGAGCTAGTGCAGCAGGTAGACGAGGACGACGCCATCTACCACGTCACCAGCCCTGCCCTCGGAGGTCACACAAAGCCCCAGGACTTCGTGATCCTGGCCTCGAGGCGGAAGCCTTGTGACAATGGGTGTGTGCCTATCTGCTGTGGGGTGGGGGACACAACTGGACAGGGTGGTAGGGTGGCCGCTTCTCCCTCCCAGGGAAGGGCATCAGCCTGGAGCCAGAGCTCTGCTTCCCATTGGCTGTGGGGCCCCAGGCACCACTAGACTTTTCTGGGCTGCTGTGGCTTTACTATGGGTAAAATGAGGGATAGGGGCACACATTTCCCCTCTTGTCGCATTCCCTAGAGCAGGGCCACCCTTACCCAGGGTGGCTCAGGCTGCCTCGATGCAGGCCTTGGGCAGGATATTTCTCACGTGGCCACCTCCTTGGCCTCCTCCCTCTGACAGCCCTGTGTGGGCTGGAGGGCCTAAACATCTCTTTTGCTGGAGAGACAGGGACAGAAAAAAAATCCCAAAGCCCACGAGTCTTCCCCTGAGCGTTGAAGTGGAGTGGCTTTTCCAGAAAGTCCACAGTGAAGTCAGGTTGGCTCCTGGTGAATTCAGTGCTAACCCACAGGTACCTCCTCCCTCCAGCCTGGCCCTGAGCCCCGCATTGGGGCTTTAAGAGTCGATGTGCCTTGCATCCCCCTGGTGAGGAATCTGTGCTAGAGGGGGCAGGGTCTCGGCCTTGGTTGGGCAGAACAGGCCCCCACTTTCTTCTGTGGCTGACCCCTGTCCCCTTGCTACCCTTCCTTCACTCAGGGACCCCTATGTCATCGCGCTGAGGTCGGTCACGCTGCCCACACACCGAGAGACGCCAGAGTACAGACGCGGAGAGACCCTCTGCTCAGGCTTCTGCCTCTGGCGCGAGGGGGACCAGCTGACCAAGGTGAGGCCGGTCCCCCCAACCACGCCCCCAGCCTGGCTCCACCCCAACACCACACGTGTATTGAGCTCAGCACTGCTGGGCTAGGATAGTCTCAGAGCTGGCCCCCCAGCAGGCTCCCCCTTCCAGCCTGGGGGAGCCTGAGAGTGTCAGGGGCTGAAAATGATCTAATCTGTGTACAGGTAAGTCAGAGGCCACTGCATGGTCTTGGAAAAAGCTCTGGGTGCTGAAGGCAGAAGGCCTGGGTTCTGAACTGAAATTCCATCTCACTCGTCATTCACTTGGATAGCCCTTCTCATCTAGGAAGGCTTTATATGACTCTGAGGGCCCATAAAACCCAGCAGCGCAGTCCGTGTTGATGGAAAACATGGGGAGGAGGCTGAGGGAAAGCGAGGGTGGGGTACTGCAGCCTCCCCCCTCACAGCTTCTATTAGGGCCCTGCAGCCTGGGTCTGGCCTTGAGACTCACCCAGCAGAGACTCAGCCGGTGTTTGCTGAATTCATATGCTTGAACCCATGAGCGCCTCAGAACCATCCCTGGGCTAATGTCTAATGTGTCTCTATGGCCGAGATTCAGAGCTGGGCCCTGGAGATGCAGCCCCTGCCCTCCAGGGCCTCTGGCTGGCGGGGAAGATGCATGATGACAATGTGGTGTGTGGTGTGGGAAGCCAGGGTTGTCAGTGCCCGAGGAAGGGTTGGGGGAGATCAGCTGGAGGAGGTCATGCTGGGCAACTGTGTAATCTAAGACCCTGGGGAGTTGGGTTGAATATTCTGCCCTCCCAGAAGGCCAGCAAGGCTGACTCACCACCAGCCTCGTGCCCACTGGGCTCCCACCCCTTCCCAGGACCCTCCCCTAGCTTGGTCCCCCTGAGCTTGGCTTCCCACCCTGCAGGTATCCTACTACAACCAGGCCACCCCAGGTGTTCTCAACTATGTGACCACCAACGTGGCCGGCCTCTCCTCTGAGTTCTACACCACCTTCAAGGCTTGTGAGCAGTTTCTCTTGGACAACCGGAATGATCTGGCCCCCAGCCTCCAGACCCTCTAGATGCCCTCAGTGGCCACATCATGCCCACTCCCACTCCATCCTGTCCCCAAGGACTCACATACAGTGCCTGGAGAAAGCCAAAGACCTTTATTTCTTCCTGCCTCCCCGTGGGAAGCCTCCGCCCTGAGGTCCGCTGGCCCACCACCCCTGGGTGCTCAGTTTCTACCAACATGAGCCAGCAAGTCCTTGTGGTAGCCCTGGGGTAGCCTGTAGTAGACTCGGGTCCTGTCCACAGCCCTAGCTGCCAGCAATGCTGTCCTCACAGAGGCATAGTCGCCCCCAGCTGGGTTGTGCTCCACTGTGACGGTGGCCCGGGGGGAGGATGCCAGCAGCCTGCCTATGGCTCCAGCTGTGCTGTGGCCCAGCAGCATGGCCTGCATCTGGAAGGACACAGGTTGCCAGAGCCCCTGGCACAACTCTAGCATATCTGTGAGCAGCTGTTCCCTGTAGCCACTGCCCAGCACCTCCTCAGGCCAGCCTGGTGCCACAGTCACGTGGGGGAAGACCTCAGCCACAGCTGTAAGCAGCTCTCTGCCAGCCACATGGCCGGGGACCGAAAAACTCCCGTGGGAGATTTTGGCCCCAACCCACACAGGCCAATGCAAGAGGCCAAGGCTGGAGAGGCGTGCCAGCAAGGCCAGGGATGGCCGGAGGGCTGCGGGCTCCGCTATTTGCAAATGGATGCCCCAGTGTCCGGGATGTGTGGCCAGCTGCTGCAGGCAGGACTCCAGCGTCAGGATGTTGCCACTTGGAGTATGAACAATGGGCACGGGGTTTTCAGCCACAGTTCCCTCGAGGCCAGTGTTCAGCAGGATCATGCCTTCTGTGTCTGGAAGAGGCGGCAGAGGCAACAGTGTTTAGGATTTGGGTTATCATAAGGTGTTAAGAGTCCCTTGTTAAAGGGGCAGTGGGAGTTATGGGGTCATCAAGGACCTTGCCTCTCTGGAATCTGTCAACCCAGTTTTGGGCTCCAGGTGGATGGGTTGCTTTATAAATGTGCCTGGTGCATGAGAAACTCTTGTTTCAGCTCTTGGCCTTTACCCATGACTCAGCCTGGGGGCTGGTGCCGGCCTTGCCTGCAGCAATGTAGCTGAGGACTGGTCTGAAGGCCAGGAGCCCTGTGCTCTTGACATCACTGTACTCCCTCTCCCTCCCCGCAACCCTGCCCCACCTTGCATCCAGGGTATGGTGTAAATAAACCTGTGTTGCCATGGCAACAGAGACCGGCGGTACCTGCCCCAAGCAAAGGACACCCCTGCAGATGAGCTGGGAGCACCGGGGCTGAAGGGTAGACCTTACCTGGGAGGGTCATTGTTGCTGTTTTACCGCTGCCCTGGACGTCAGGAACCAGCCACTCCACATTCAGACCGTCATCCCCAGGCAGCTGGAGAAGAGGGATCAGGCTGCCTCCCGTGTAGTACATTGGTTTCCGTGTGGCATTCACTGTGGGGCCCCAAATCGCCAAGGTGAAGTGGCTGCCATTCACAGAACACCTTACCTGGTTGCTAGGGTCCCATAGGCCACAGCTCTACGGGCATCCTCTCTAAGCCTCATAGCACCCTGCCAAGTAGCTCTCATTTCCTTGCCTTGTAGACTAGAAGAAGTGACTTGCCCAAGGTCTTATAAGCAGTAAGCAAAGTTGCCAGGAGTGGAACCTGATGGGACCAGGTCTGCCTGGCTCCAGAGCTGGTATCCTTCCCGCTCGCTTAGGTGGCTCCCATGGCAGGAATGCTGAGTCTGATGGGGCCTCTTTGAGATGGCTTAACTGCGGCTCTTCTGGGTTCGGGGTCAAGGGAATGAGGGGTTTGGATAGTGGCATCTGATCACTGCTTAATGAATACAGTGGAGGCCTCTGAAACATTAGAGTAACCAGCAGTGGAGCTATGCACCAAGGGAAATAATGGGGGGTTTGGAATTTGCTGGTTTCCTACCTGCTGGGCCACATAAAAGCTGAGTGACTGTATAAATTCCTGAACTGTTTTGAGCCGCTGTTTCTCTATAAAATGGAATCCCTCAGTTTCTCTATAAAATGAATGTGTGGGTCAGGCAGGTGGCTCATGCCTGTAATCCCAGTACTTTGGGAGGCCAAGGCGGGCGGATCACTTGAGGGCAGAAGTTCGAGACCAGCCTGGCCCAACATGGTGAAACCCCATCTCTATTAAAAATACAAAAATTAGCCGGGCATGGTGGCGCAGGAGAATCGCTTGAACCCAGGAGGCGGAGGTTACAGGGAGCCGAGATTGCGCCGCTGCACTCCAGCCTGGGTGACAGAGTCAGACTACATCTCAAAAAAATAAATAAATAAAAATAAAATGGATGTTTGAAGCTTAGCATACCATCCCAGGGCCTGGCACACAAAATGCAGCCGCCTCCTGTCCCACCCCGGCCTTCCCCCTTCTGATATCCCTTCCACCCAGCTCTGCTCCAGTGCCCACCAGGTGCTGCTCCATGCAGAATCCAGCCCACACCACCCTTCCCAATTCCTCTCCTTACAGGCCAGCTGCTTGAACTGTGACAGGAGAGGCTCAAAGATGTCATAGTAGACTTGGTGGACAGCAGTGTTATCCCGGACGTAGAGCAGATCTTCCACCGACATGGGGTCCGAGGCAGCCTGCCACAGCGTCAGGCTGTACCTGGGGACACGAGAGCTGGCTCAGTGCCTGTCTGGGCCCAGCAAGACCCTCAGCCCCACTCCTGTGCTCAGAACTGGATGTCAGCTGGGCGCAGGGTAGAGCATCTGTCCTCCAGTCGCCCACCTGCCACTTCTCCCTGAGTCCTACCCCTTCCCAAGGGCAGGAGCCAGAGGGAATTCAGGAAAGATGACTGAAAGCAGAGGCCCAGGAGGGAGGGGGAGCCTGTGCTGCCTCCTCACTTGCAGTGTCTATTTCTGAGTCCTGTCTTAGGAAAGGGGCAGGACAGATGGGGGAGGGTGTGGAAGGGTAGGTCAGGCATCAAGAGGGGGAGGGGGCAGCTTTGGGAGTCCTATGGAAGGTAGGGGGTATAGTGGGGGCAGGGGAGTCTCTAAATTCCTATAGGGCTATCCTAGGGCAGGGGTTAAAGGCACAATCTGTGTAGCCCCAGGGGTACAGCGGGCTCCTATTGGAGGAAGCTGTGGGGAGACAAATTGTGTCTTGGTATAAATATTTTCCAGAGGGCAGAGAATTACCCACCAATGAAAGGGCTCTCTTGGGAGGTAGTGAGTAGCCCGTCACCAGAGGTATGCAAGCAGAAAGCAGGGACTCTGCAGAGGGCATGAGCACTGGCAGGGGTTGGACGAAATGACCTTTAAGACCCTTCCAGCCATGAGCTTCTGGGATCTTGCTGGGGGCATCAGTGCCTCCAGGAGGGTGGGGGTGGGTTTGGTGGTTTTCACCTCTCAGATTGGCTCAGCAGCCAGCTGAAGTGGGGCCAGGCAGCCCGCACCATGGAAGACCGTACAGGGAAGGTGACCCTCTGGGGCACTCCTCCCACCAGCTCGTGCATCTTCTCCACCATGGCTTGGGTGTACGTCCTGTTTGGGGACGTGGACATGTAGAAGGTGGTCCAGCCTGGAGATAGGGTAGCCTTGGGATACTTCTCCTGGACCAGGGCCAGGAACCTGCAAAAAAATCAGAGATGTTGGTCTCACGGAGCTGCAGCGGCCCCTTCCTCTCCTCTGGGGTCTCATCACAGTGCTAGGGAGTGGCAGAGCCTATTGGATCTATGATAAGGTCAGAAGCAGAGTCCCAAAGGACAGAATGGCTTGTTTCAGGTCCCATAAATTGGGCGTGGACTTTGGAGTCAGGGAAGTCTGGGTTCAGATCCTGATTCTGATCTTGGGCAGGTAACTCAGCCTCATAGACAGCATCCCTTCCAGCAGGGCAGGCTTCTTAAACATCCTCATATAGACAGGAAACTGACTCAGAGCCCCCAGCGTGTGGGAATCTGAGCTCTGCCAGCTGGGAGTCTCTGAAGTTTCTCAGGTTTTCTTTAAAAATCTCCCTCCTGCCAGGTGTGGTGGCTCACACCTGTAATCCCAGCACTTTGGGAGGCTGAGGCAGGTGAATCACCTGAGGTTGGGAGTTCGAGACCAGCCTGACCAACATGGAGAAACCCTGTCTCTACTAAAAATACAAAATTAGCTGAACGTGGTGGCGCATGGCTATAATCCCAGCTACTTGGGAGGCTGAGGCAGGAAAATCGCTTGAACCCAGGAGGCGGAGGTTGTGGTGAGCTGAGATCGTGCCATTGCATTCCAACTTGGGCAACAGAGTGAGACTCCATCTCAAAAAAAAAAAACTTTTTTTCCTGTCTTCCTGCTTTCCTCCCTCCTTCCCTCCCTCCCTTTTCTTCCCTTCATGTCTTTCTCTCTTTTCTTTCTATACGTGGTCTCGCTGTGTTGCCCAGGCTGGTCTCAAACTCCTGAGTTCAAGGGATCCGCTCACCTTGGCCTCCCAAAGTACTGGGATTATAGGTGTGAGCCACTGTGCCCAGCCTAAAATTTTATTTGAACTTTGCCTTGATGAAAATATTTTAGTTTTTTTCTTTGTACTTTTCTTCTTCAAAAGATGCAAACTTTAATAGGCAAATTATGTTGCCACCCACTGCCCACCCAAAAAAACCCTACTGAGTAAAATTAGCACTCCAGGAAGACAGGTCATATTTATCTTGGGCCATTGATTACATTTTCCAAACTGCTATTTTTGGAAGGCACCTCAGCTTGAGAAGCACAATAATAAATTGGATGGATGGAGGAAGAGATGGATGGGAAAGAGCCTGGAGCTTAGAATCAGAAAGGCCTGGGTTTGAATCTTTGCTCTGCCACTTACCAGACTTAGGCAGGTCTTTTAACTTCTATAATATAGTTCCTGCATTAATAAAATAAAAGTAATACTACCTACCTCATTCTCATAAGAGTTAAACGGTGTTCTGCAAGTCAAGTGCTTAAAACAGTTCTGGGACACATAATAAACTTCGAACAAATTGAGCTTCCACTATTGTCAGCTTTATCATCTGCAATATGGGGAGAAAGCCCTAACCTGGCAGTGCTATGTAAGGATGAGATCAAAGACATTCTCTCTCTTTGTAAACTGTAGAGCACTGTGCAACTACTGTATGTGAGGGCTGTGAGCAGCGGTGCTGGAATTCATGAGGGGAATTCCAGCTGGGGAAGGAATCAAGGTTTTAGACTTCTCTAGCAGGCCAAATCCTGTGCTGGTCACTGGGGAATACAAGGGGGCACTTGGCCCTGTCTGCCCTCCAGGAGTTCAATGTAGTAGGGGTGACAAATCTATGAACACCCAGTGACAGCCCCATGAAGTCAGGGCTGTGTTAGAAGGAAGTGTAGGGGTTGAGGGGCCCAGAGGAAGTCCTGCAGTGGCCTAAGATGTCAAGGAAGTTTCTAGGAGATAATGACTGGCCAGTGGTTTGTCAGAAAAGGGGGGAAAGGCATTGGAGGAAGAGGGAACAGCATGTGCAAAGGCTCAGAGGTGAGGCTATATATAGTATGATTGGAGACAAACTCAGAGGTCCCCTAAGATCCCCATCCTGTGGTAGGTGTTGACAGAAGAGGGCTGGACACAGCTGGGACAGAGAGGCGAACACTCACTGTGTGGCATTGACCTCAGTTGAGATGAGCATGTTGGGGCCCTTTAAGATGTCAGCGTTGATCCATATGGGCCGCCGGACTTTGCCTTCCTCTGTCAGCTGCCGCAGGAGGTCCAGGGAGGGGCCCACTGCCTTGATGTTCTTGAAGTCCAGTTTGATGCCTGTGGGGAAAGGAACAAGGGCTTGGGGAAATGGCGAAGGAACTAGGAATACATGACTCCCTGGGCAGAAAGCAGAGCGGGTGTGTGTGTGTGTGCATGTGCGTGCACAGTGGAGTCAGGGGAGGGCGGAAGGACCAGCACCACATCCCTGCAGGGTGTGAGGAAGGCCTTTCGAAGAGACAGAGCTAACTCAGAGAAGAAGGGCCTGCCTCTAGAGGAGTTCCCATCTCCTGCGGGGAGGAAACAGAGGCCAGGTAAGGACTTGGGCTTGTGGCTGCTGCAGCTGGGAATCAAGTCTCTGCTGAAAAGGGCCTGTGGTTCCTGAGCAGGGCAGACTCAGAGGGTCCTAAACCACCAGAGCCTGTAGGGAGGTTACTCAGCCTCCAAGAAGGTGCATTTGAGTAGAGGAGGAGATCTCTGCAGAGAAAGGACTTGGTACTTTTCAGGGTGGTGAGGAGATGAGGCTAGGAAGATATAGAGGGATGTTGAAAGCCAGGCCAAGATCACACTTTTTCCTGAGGACAATGGGGAGCCACGGAGGGTTAAAAGAGAGGCGTGGCATGACAAAACTGGTGTTTTGAAAAGATCCTTCAGGTGCGTGTGTGTGGTCATGGTAGTCAAGGGAAGCCTGGAAGGGCTGAATTTGGGGCAGGAAGCCAGTGAGGAGGGAGGTCCTGGAGAGATACAGTGTTGCTGCGACTAGATGGGGGCAGGGTTAGGGGTTAGGATTGGTGGATGCAGCAACTGAGTTGCCGTGAGGATGAGGGAGAGGGAGGCATTATGGTGACGCCTGGATTCTGACTGTGACTGGTGAAGGGGTGCAGAGGGGAAGGGTGGGGCTGGGCTTTGAACATGTTACGTCCAGTTCTGTGGATACAGGAGGGAGCACTCTGAGCATGCGCGGCACTTTGCAGTTCACACTGTACTGCCGGCTGTCTCCCCTCTGTGTCCAGGAGAAAACACCAGGACCTGCACTGACATGCTCCCCATCTCGCCTAGTCCTCACTGAGCCTGGGCATCTATAACATTGTGATGAGAAAGCCAAGGCAATGAGCACCTCGTGTCAGGGCTGGACTTGCTTCCCAGTGAGGGATCTCTGCACATGCTGCCCCAGGGCCAGAGGGCTGGGGGCCGGAGAGGGTTTCCAGAGAGGCCCTTACCCTTTTGGGAAGAGCCCAGCACAGCGTCCAGCCACTGCTCCAGTGTGTTGTCACTGTAGATAGTGGGGGGGTGTGCCATGATGGGAACTCCTGTCTCATTGGCTGTGCCGAGCCCTTCTACATTGACGTCAGCCTCCAGGACTGTGATGTTGCCTGTGGAAGGGGCAACAACTCAGTGAGTTCCTTTTTTTAAAAAAAGAAAACTTCTTTCTCATCATAAAAGCATTACAAATTACAGAACATTTGAGAAATACAGAAAAGTGGAAGAGGAAAATATTCACCCACACTTCCATCATAGTTTCACATTTCGATGATTTTTTTTCTTCCATTTTCTTCTATGCATAGGTTTTTGTTTTTTTTTTGAGACGGAGTCTTGCTCTATCGCCCAGGCTGGAGTGCAGTGGTGTGATCTTGGCTCACTACAAGCTCCACCTCCCAGTTTCAAGCAATTCTTGAAATTCTCCTGCCTCAGCCTCCCAAGTAGCTGGAATTTACAGGCGTGTGCCACCATGCCTAGCTAATTTTTGTATTTAGTGGAGACGGGGTTTCACCATATTGGCCAGGCTGCTCTCAGAACTCCTGACCTCAAGTGATCCGCCCACCTCAGCCTCCCAAAGTGCTGGGATTACAGGCGTGAGCCACCGTGCCCGGCCCTATGCATAGTTTTTACACAGTTGAGACTCCACTGCATTTATAATTTTTTATGTTTTTTCAACATTATGACACATTTCCACGATCTTTTTTTATGCATCTCTTTAGAGCAAACAAGGCAAAAAAGCAAAAAGCTTCAAAAGCCCTGGTTGAGGGTGTTCACTACTATGTAGTTGATCATCCCCCATCCCTGAGATGCTTTGGTAAGTTTCTGATTTTTGCTATTAGTCTTGCTATGTTGCCCTGTCTGGTCTTGAACTCCTGGGCTCAAGCAATCCTCCCACTTTGGCCTCTCAAAGTGTTGAGATTACAGGTGAGTCTCAGTGCCCAGCCCACAGGGTCATTTTTAAAGCCCATGTTATCAAACTGCTTTCCGGAAAAGTTGTTCTGATTCTTGTTCCTGCACAAGGTTGCCCATCTCACCACATCATCACTGACACTGAGTTATCTTTTAGCTTCACATAGTTAACTCAATCAGGTGGACATCTTCTGATTCCTGCCTTCAAGAATTCAGTCTAGTAGGGAGCTCAGACCTTTCTAATGGGAAGCTGTCTCTAGATAATCATGCAAGGGGCACTCACACTTGAAGAGTGTAGTGGAGGGGAGAGGGGCCGCTTTTGGCCCTTGCAGCATCACAAACGACTGATGCCAGAAGGGGCCTTTTCTCCTGCTTTCTCCCTGACTCCTGACCATTCTTCTCACCTCTAGCACTGCTTCCCTGCAAGTCTGTTCTCTATAGAGCCGGCAAAGTGAGTGTCCTAAATATGTACCTGATCATGTCACTTTCTGTTAAAAAAAAAAAAAAAAAGGCCAGAAAACCTACCCATTGCTCTAAACTTGAAACCCAAACTCTTTATCATAGTCTTCGTGGTCTGTACAATCAGGGCCTGCCAGATTTTCCAATTTCATCTCACGTTCCACTCTCCTTCATTCTCTGAGTTCCAGGCACCCAGCTTCTCCAACTTTAATGTGCACATAGATCCCCCAGGAACTGTAAAAATGCATGTTCTGATCACTAGGTCTGCAGCAGGGCCTGAGATTTTTTTTTTTTTTTTTTTTTTTTTTTTTTTTTTTATGAAGTCTCGCTCTGTTGCCCAGGCTGGAGTGCTGTGGCGTGATCACGGCTCACTGCAACCTCTGCCTGCTGGGTTCAAGTGATTCTCCTGCCTCAGCCTCCTGAGTAGCTGGGACTACAGGTATGCACCACCACCATGCACGGCTAATTTTTGTACTTTTAGTGGAGATGCGGTTTCACCATATCAGTCAGCCTTGTCTCGAACTCCTGACCTCAGGTGATCCACCCGCCTCAGCCTCCCAAACTGCTGGAATTACAGGCATGAGCCACCAGGCCTGGCCCGAGATTCTGCATTTTTAACACACTCCCCAGGGATGCGCCTGCTGCTGGTCCATGGGCCACACGTTGGGTAGCAAGGCTTTAATTTGTTTTGTCCTCCCCATCTCTGGGCTGTTGCCTGGCAACACTCTTCTCTCAACTTTACTATGGCACCTCCTGCTCATCCTTTAGTGTTGGCTTAAAAAAATCACCTCCTCAGCCGGGCGCGGTGGCTCAGACCTGTAATCCTAGCACTTTGGGAGCCCGAGAAGGGCGGATCACTTGAGTTTAGGAGTTCGAGACTAGCCTGGTCAACATGGTGAAAACCCATCTCTACTAAAAATACAAAAATTAGCCAGGCATGGTAGTGGGTTCCTGTAATCCCAGCTACTCGGGAGGCTAAGGCAGGAAGAATCACTTGAACCTGGGAGGTGGAGGTTGCAGTGAGCCAAGATCACACCAGTGCACTCCAGCCTGGGCAACAGAGCAAGATCCTGTCTCAAAACAAACAAACAAACAAAAACTCTTTTCACCTTAAAAATTGTGACTTGCCTTCCAGAGGCTGAACCTGGGGGCTGACTTGCTTGGGGGTGGGAAGTGAAGGAGGAGAAAGAGATGAGAGGAAAGGATTTGTTTCCTGTGGCCACAGCTGTAGCCCTGGTCCTCAGGAAGCCATATTCAGGAGGGAAGGGGACATGGAGTCAATAGCCCTCCTTGTGCCAGCTTTACCCATCTGCAGGAGCTCGCGGTGGCTGTGTGCAGACCGTGAATTGACACTGCTAGCTTCCAGTCCCCACCCTAACACTTTCCAGCTGTGTGATCTTGGGAAGGTTATTTGATCTTTTTTTGCCTGTTTCCTCATCTACAAGAATTAAATAATAAAATATCCCTGGTTAGGCATTCACTAAGTGTTAATTATTTATATGGAGTTGATTGCTTAACTAGTGTAAGGGGCCATCTGGTATATTTCTGTTGCTTCAGCGTAATTATTAATAATGACCTCAAAAGAGCCCTGCTTTGGTTGATTTGGTCATTCTACCAGCCCTCAGACCCCAGTTTCCTTGTCTGAAATGGAAGGAGTTTGCTTGAGCAGTGATTCTCAAAGTTGGTCCTGGGGCCAGCAGCCTCAGCATCACTTGAGGGTGGGGCCAGCAGCCTGTGTCTTCTGAAACGTGCCCAGGTTTGAGGACTGTTCCCTTCATCTTTTATAGCTACTGCTTTAAAGTTCACTAGCATGTTCGTGAACATTATCTACTGAGCTTCCCAACAGCCCTGAAGGAGAGGGTGGGGGTCAAGCGTCACGCAGTGGCTTGGAGCGTGCACTCTGGGACTGACCACTCTGGGCTCCAATGTTGGCTTAACTGCTTTCAGACAGTGTAACCTTGGCTAAGTCACCTAACTTTTCTGAGCCTCTATTTTTCTCCTGTGAAATGTTACCCATGAAACAGATTGCATGGTAGTCCCAGGAGAACCTGTGTGTAATGTGCGCCCAGTGAGCCTTGGCCAACTGGTTACTGTAACCATTTTTGAAGTGCAGATTTCTGGCTTCTTGAGGCTTTGAAGGTAAAGGCTTCCTTACAGTTTGGTCCCTGACAGGTCGAGGAAGGGGTAGCTGGGAGGGAGGACAGTATAGTCATTACTTTGGAGTCAGACATGTGGTTTAAATCTAAGCTCAGAGTTTGTCAGCTGCACAACCTTGAGCTGGTCACTTAACCCCTCTGAGCCCCTATTTCCTCATGCTGAAAGACATGTAAACAGCCATCATGCCACCACAGTGACCAGTGTCTGATCCTCACTTCTCTCCCTCTGTCTTCTCTATCCCTTGCCCTGGCCTGCCTCAGTCTTGGCAGCTGGACTTACTGTTCAGGGCAGCTGTCATGGCTTTCTTGCTGTTGGCTGCGTGGTACCAGGTGACCTCCAAGGCATCTCGCCGGCTGATCTGGCCCAGGCTCAGCAGGTAGTCCAGCATGTCGGCATCAGGGCTGCAGGCCTCCAGCTCACAGCCTGGAAGGAATCCCAAGGGGCTGTTAGCGTCTGTCCTCGCCCCAGCCCAAGACTCATGTTCGTTCATCCCATGACCCTCCCTGGGCTCCCACTGTGTCCAGTACCCCATCTGGCAGAGGGACGGTGAGGCTCAGACTCACTGGTGCTACAATAGAGGGAAATGAATGGGCTCCTGGGGCCCAAGGAAGCCTCATTACCAGCCTGAGGCAGTCAGGAAAGGGGGCAGGTTCACAGAGAAGGGAACACTTAAGGAAGACCTTGAAGGATGGGTGTAAATTTCACAGACAAGGGAGAATAGGTTATTCCAGACAGAGAGAAAGCAAAGGCTTGGCTTCAGGAGAGTGCAGTTGCCTGAAGAGCCATTGGCCTGGTAGAGATGGAACATAAAAGTGGAATGTGGAAAGATTGGAAGAGGGGGCCGGGCATGGTGGCTCATGCCTGTAATCCCAGCACTTTGGGAGGCCGAGGTGGGTGGATCACCTGAGATTAGGAGTTCGAGACCAGCCTGGCCAACATGGTGAAACCATGTCTCTACTACACATACAAAAATTAGCTGGATGGACGTGGTGGCAGGAGCCTGTAATCCCAGCACTTTGGGAGGCCGAGGTGGGTGGATCACCTGAGATTAGGAGTTCGAGACCAGCCTGGCCAACATGGTGAAACCATGTCTCTACTACACATACAAAAATTAGCGGGATGGACGTGGTGGCAGGAGCCTGTAATCCCAGCTACTCGGGAGGCTGAAGCAGGAGAATCACCTGAACCCGAGAGGTGGAGGTTGTAGTGAGCCGAGATTGCACCACTGTACTCAGCCTGGATGACACAAAGAGACTCTGTCAAAAAAAAAAAAAAAAAAAAAAAAAAAAAAAAGGCTGGGTTTGGTGGCTCACACCTGTAATCCTAGCACTTTGGGAAGCCGAGGTGGGTGGATTGCCTGAGCTCAGGAGTTCAAGACCAGCCTGGGCAACATGGCGAAACCCCATCTCTACTAAAAATACAAAAAATTAGTTGGGTTTAGTGGCATGCGCCTGTAATCCCAACCACTGGGGAGGCCAAGGCAGAGAATCACTTGAACCTGGGAGACAGAGGTTGCAGTGAGCCGGAGATCATGCCACTGCACTCCATCCTGGGTGACACAGTGAGACACTGTCTCAAAAAAAAAAAAAAACCTGCGCGCGGCGGCTGACGCCTGTAATCCCAGCACTTTGGGAGACCGAGGCAGGCGGATCACCTGAGTTCAGGAGTTCACGATCAGCCTGGCCAACATGGTGAAACCCCATCTCTACTAAAAATAGAAAAATTAGCTGGGCGTGGTGGTCCATGCCTGTAATCCCAGCTACTGGGGAGGCTGAGGCAAAAGAATTGCTTGAACCTGGGAGGCGGAGGTTGCACTGAACCCAGATCATGCTACTGCACTCCAGTCTGGGCGACAGAGCAAGACTCTGTCTCAAAATAAATAAATAAATAAATAAAATTTTAAAAAAAGATAAAAGATTGGAAGAACGTTGGGATCAGGTTGTGAATGGCCTCGAACTTTAGCAAAGGAGTTGCTGTGTGCTGAGGGCAGTGAGCGAGGGTTGCTTGGAAAGATCTGGGCTGCAGAGCTAACAGGAGCTGACAAAAGCAGGCAGAGGGACCTTGTAAGAGGGGTCCAGGAGGAGACTTCGAAGCTTCTCACAGGGCAGGGCTGGAGGGCTGGAGGGCAGAGGGCAGAAAGGCAGAGCCCTTGAGGCTCAGGACTGAGGAACACAGGCATGAGGTGGGGGCATGGTGGCTACTCCAGGTACCTGTGTGAATGGAGGAGCCCTTCACTGAGAGGCTGCAGGGGTGAGCAGCTGTTGGGGGGAAGAGATGAGCTCAGCCTAGTCTGCTGAGTTTGAGATTGCTTGTGTGACTCCCAAGAAGGGCACAGGAGGAAGGTCTGGGCTGAAAGCCAAGATCTGATGGTCTTCAGGCAAGTGAAGTAGTAAAAAAAGTTAAAGGGGGCCAGGCACAGTGGCTCATGCCTGTAATCCCAGCACTTTGGGAGGCCAAGGTGGGCAGATCACCTGAGGTCAGGAGTTCAAGACCATCCTGGCCAACATGGTGAAACCCCGTCTCTAGTAAAAATACAAAAAATTTAGTCTGGTGTGGTGGTGCCCACCTGTAATCCCAGCTACTTGGGAGGCTGAGGTGGAAGAATTGCTTGAGCCCAGGGGGTGGAGGTTGCAGTGAGCCGATATCATGTCACCGCACTCTAGGCTGAGTGACAGAGTGAGACTCTGTCTCAAAAAAAAAAAAAAAAAAAAAAAGGCCAGGTATGGTGGCTCATGCCTGTAATCCCAGAACTTTGGGAGGCCAAGATGGGCAGATCAGGAGGTCAAGAGATCAAGACCATCCTGGCCAACATGGTGAAACCCGTCTGTACTAAAAATACAAAAATTAGCTGAGCGTGGTGGCGCACGCCTGTAGTCCCAGCTACTCCGGAGGCTGAAGCAGGAGAATATCTTGAACCTGGGAGGCGGAGGTTGCAGTGAGCCAAGATCACACTCCAGCCTGGCGACAGAGAGAGACTCCGTTTCAAAAAAAAAAACCACAAAAAATTAGCTGGGTATGGTTGCACACGCCTGTGATCCCAGCTACTTGTGGGGCTGAGGCAGGAAAACCACTTAGATCCAGGAGGCCGAGGCTGCAGTGAGTTGAGATTGCACCATTGCACTCCAGCCTGGGGGACAAGAGTGAAAACTCCGTCTCAAAAAAAATAGTTAACGGGACTTTCTGCTGGGGAAGTCAACGGGACTTTCTGCTGGGGATGAAGTCATGTAGGGTTGGGGGATGGAAGAGAGAAAGAGCTGTGGATGGGGGAATGAGGCTTGGTGGGGACGAGGGCTCAAGAAGAGCTGGTTGGCCAGGCATGATGACTCACACCTGTAATCCCAGCACTTTGAGAGGCTGAGGCAGGTGGATCACCTGAGGTCAGGAGTTCGAGACCAGCCTGGCCAACATGGTGAAACCCCATCTCTACTAAAATTACAAAAAATTAGCTGGGCGTGGTGGCGGGTGCCTGTAATCCCAGCTACTCGGGAGGCTGAGGCAGGAGAATCGCTTGAACCTGGGAGGCGGAGGTTGCAGTGAGCCGAGAATCGTGCCATTGTACTCCAGCCTGGGCAACAAGAGCAAAACTCCGTCTAAAAAAAAAAAAGGGACTGGTCAGAGCTGTAAGTGAGAAGTGGGGATAAGGAGCGAGCGATGAGGGAAGCCACTCAGGATGACATGGGGGGAGGCACCTACCTGGCCGCCGCAGGGTGATGGCAAGGACTATTGCGGCAATGACCACCACAGACACACAGGTAATGCCGGCAAACACCCACTTGACCTGATTCTTTGATAACTGCTCCCTGCAGACCATGGCGACGCTCTCTGGGGAATGCCCCCAACTCCGTGCGGCCCAGAGTCCCTGAGGCTCCCTGCAGCTGGAATCCTGTGGGAGGCAGGAGCTCCCAGCAGCACCTAATTCTCCACCGGGCCTGGTCTGCTCTGCAGCCCTGTAATATCCCCTCTGGAGATAACCCCTGAAGCCCCTCCTCCCTCCCCGCCCCAATCCTCTTCCCCACACCCTCCCAGGATCTTAACAGGCTAACCAGAATATCTACCATATCTAAAATGACCTTTGAGCACAGTAAGAGGCAGCAGAGAATGTTGGACCGAGCCCCGACCCCTGGCTGTCTGCCCCTGCTTGGGAGTCAGGAGACCAATCCCAGCCCCTGTTGCTTTTCTGGAGTCCTGGAGCAAGTGTCTGCCGGTCTCTGGGCATCATTTCCTTCCGTGTAAAAGGAGGCACTAGACTGGGTGATCCCGAACATTCTGTTCTTTCCCTTTCTAACTCCAGGCTTTCTGCCCTGCCCTCAGGGAATCCTGCATTATCAGGCAAGGGTGGTGACAAAGACAGATTAGATCTGCGTAAGGGGCAATAATCTTCCTTTCATCTGAGATTATGGTTAACAGATTATCTACCTGGGATAGAAATGGATAGTCCTGGCATGCTGGCATGGGTTACTGCAGGCCGGTTCTGGGGCAGCGAGTCCATGGGGAAGGGGCTGAGTCACCACTTCATGCAGAGGGAGTTCTGGGGGCCCTGGTATGGGAAGCAAGTTAGAGGCTGCCCCTATTCTGAGGACCCCAGAATTTAAACGAGTCCAGGAATCACCTGTAATGTGCACAGAGACTTCAGCGTCTACACATTGGGGCTCACAGAGAGATCTGGAATGTGAGGCTGTGATAGGCCACCCGAGGCAGAGCCGGGCAGTTGGTGGCTTTGATTGTGTGTGTGAAAGGGTGTCTAGAATGATGCCCAGGTGGGCAGATGGTCGGGACTGAGGGGTGGAGGGGCAGGGTGGGAGGGATTTTGGTCATGGGGCTTGTCGTGGGTCATTCCTGAGTCCATTTTCCTGCCTCGGCCTTCCCGAGGAGGGAACTGGATATAGAGGCTGTGGGCTCAGGACTGAGATCAGGGCCAAAGACAAGGGCATGAGCATCATTTTCTGGCCAAAGCAAAGAGAGAAAGGGATGGAGGCTGACTTCTGGGGACCACTGACAGGCGGAGAGTTGGAGGAAGAGGCATTAGTAGAGGAAAGGGGACAGCAGAGGGCGGTGAGGGGTGTCAATGGGAAGGTCAAGAAGAAAGGAGTGGTCAGCCAGGCTGGGAGATGGAGCCCTGTAAGGACAGCAAGGCCCCCGATGCTGGCCAGGACAGTTTCCCTGGATCAGTGGGGAGGGCAGAGGTCAGAGCAGAGCCTGTTTAGAGGGGCCAGGAAAGACCAGAGAGGCTGAAGGTACAGGAGGGAGAGGCACTGGGACAAAGTGAGGATGGGAGCAGGAGGACCTGGTGCTCAGGGGGTGCTATTCTGTAGGATGTGGGGAACGGTGGGCATTGTGAGTGGTGAGTCTGGGGGTGCTGGTTGGGAGGTGATGTGGTGAAGGGGGACAATGAGGGAGAGGTTTGAGGACAGGGAGGTTCTGTTGGCTGGTCGGGGCATGTGTGGTATGCCTACAGGGATCCAACGAGACCCAAGCTGTGGGCTGCTAGATGGACAGGACCCCATTCAACACCCCCTCCCCACCACTGTGTATATCCGGAAATGTGAGACTGTGATGGGCCACCTGAGGCAGAGCCAGCCCTGGAGCCCAGGCTCAATTCTCAGTTCTTGGAACCTCTGGAGAGAGGGAGATCTAGTCTGTCTGGGCTTCTGGCTCATTCTCCAAATCAACTCAACAAACTCAGCAGCTGCCAGGAGCCAGGCCCTGGTGAGGTGTCAGGGCTGCTGGCTGGAATGGAGCAGGGTCAGTGCTCTGGGGTCTGCTCAGGAGACAGTAAGGGGGCTGTAGACAAGCAGGAACATTTTTGTGAGTCCCCTTTCTTATTGGGGCTGCTCTCTCAGGCCACCCACTCCGGACTCCAGGATCCAAATGCTAACTGGGCCTCACCCAGATCCCTTCTGTAATAAGGCATGGAAGGGTGTGTTAACTGGGATATTATGATAGCCGCAAAAAGTTAACAGAATGACAGAAGCTACATCTCGAGTAACAACCACATATGCTTTACTCTACAGTTAAAGTCTAGAGGAAATTTCTGTTTAAGAGTTGGCCATAAAAAAGAAAAGAAAATGCTGAGCCAGGCGCGGTGGCTCATGCCTGTAATCCCAGCACTTTGGGAGGCTGAGGTGGGCGGATCACCTGAGGTTGGGAGTTCGAGACCAGCCTGACCAACATGGAGAAACCCCATCTCTACTAAAAAATACAAAAATTAGCTGGGCATAGTGGCGCGTGTTTGTAATCCCAGCTACTCGGGAGGCTGAGGTAGGAGGATGGCTTGAATCTGGGAGGCGGAGGTTGCGGTGAGCCGAGATTGTGCCATTGCACTCCAGCCTGGGCAACAAGAGTGAAACTCTGTCTCAAAAAAAAAAAAAAGAAAGAAAGAAAAAAAGAAAAGAAAAGGCCAGCATGGTGGCTCACACCTGTAATCCCAGCACTTTGGGAGGCTGAGGCGGGCGGATCACTTGAGGTCAGGAGTTTATGACTAGCTTGGCCAACAGAGTGAGACCCTGTTTCTACTAAAATACAAAAATTAGCTGGGCATAGTGGCACGAGCCTGTAATCCCAGCTACTCGGGATTACAGTACAGGCTGATGCAGGAGAATCGCTTGAACTTGGGAGGTGGAGGTTGCAGTGAGCCGAGATTGCACCATTGACCACCAGCCTGAGCGACAGAGTGAGACCCTGTTTCAAAAAAAAGAAAAGAAAAAAGAGAAAAGACAAGAAAAGAAAAGAAAAGAAGTCTAGAGGAACAACAAACCACTAGAATTATACAATGTGACTCCAGGGTTGTCCCCAAGCCCCATACTGATAAGTCTCACCTAGTCTGGCTTGCATTTTTTCTGCTTTTATTAATAATATTATTTGTGATTTCCTACAAAGTGTCCCACATTTTAATTTCATCCACTTGTCACACAACACTGCCAAATGACTCTCATGTCCCCATGTTGCAGGCAAAGAAATCAAGGCTTGGAGAGGTCGAGACTTGTCCCAAGTCACCTCTATGTTAAGTTCAAATGCAGGTCAGGCTGACTGTGGGCCTATCTGCCTGATTTTATCCATCTACTTGTCCCTTCTTATTCACACCCATTTACAATGGGACAGTCACTTATTTTGGCAAGAATATTTAACAGCAATGCTGGACAAATCTATTTTTGAAAGAAAAATCAAGAACTTAGTTCTTACGGTCCATGAGGGCACCCCCTGCACAAACCATTCTCATTTTGGAACTGCTGCTTATTTAGTGTTTGTGACACTCTTATGAAGGAGGCATTCTTTTATTTATTTATTTATTTTTGAGGCAGAGTCTTGCTCTGTTGCCCAGGCTGGAGTGCAGTGGCACAATCTTGGCTCACTGTGACCTCTGCCCCCTGGGTTCAAGTGATTTTCCTGCCTCAGTCTCCAAGTAGCTGGGATTACAGGTGCGCACCACCACGCTCAGCTAATTTTTGTATTTTTAGTAAAGACGGGGTTTCACCATGTTGGCCAGGCTGGTCTCGAACTCCTGACCTCAAATGATCCACTCACCTCAGCCTCCCAAAGTGCTGGGATTATAGGCGTGAGCCACTGTACCCAGCCGAGGAAGGCATTCTTATGCCCCTTTTTCACAGAAGGGAGCCAGAGTCAGTTTGCAGCAGAAAGGGATGCCCATGCCCTGTCATTCCAACTCCGCGGGCCGTGTGTCACCTGTCCTCCCTGGGAAAGAGGCCGGCGAGCCGAGCTCTGAGGCACAGAGCTTCGCCACTCTCTTGGTTCCAAAGAGCTCTGCAGGATGTCTGGGAGGAAAGAGACTTCATCTGGCTCTGGTTTTTGGCAGGAGGAACAGCCCTGGAACCGACTCCAAGCTGTGAAGACTCCTCCATTGTCTGTGACACTTCTCGTGGGGCATAAATTACTAAACAAGTTACTGAGCATGCATTCTGTGCCAGGCACTGTGCTAGGCTCTGGGGATCCACCCCGTGGCATACTGTGGGAGAGAAGAAAGCAGGGGCTGTCAGGGGGCTCCAGCATTTCAGATGTGAAACAGCCATTTTATTAATAGAGCTGGTGCACATCAAAAACACAGAGCAGGCTTATAGCCTGTAAGGATGTCAGACATGGAAAGTGGCAGTGGGCCCAGGTTGGGGCATGCAGGATGGAGAAGACACAGGTTAGAAACCCCAAACTCCTGGGTGGGCCAGGAGGCTTTCAGAAGAGGCTTGGCTGACTCGGAGAACCATCAGGGACGGGGGCTAGGGAAGACCTTCCAGACAAAGGGTGCAGTGTGTGTGGGAGAGGGCACAGGCATGAGGGAGAAGAGCCTGTTTGGGAGCGTGAGTGGTGTGGCTGGAGCAGCAGGTGGGAAATGTGGGGAGGCGGAGGGGGAGAGAAATGAGACTGGGGAGCCCCGGAGGCCTGGGTCACCCTGATAAAGAATTTGGCTTCAACCTGGATGGGTTGGGGAGCCCTTACCCATGGGATAAGCAGGGAGCGCCACACTCAGCTTGCATTTGGGAGGTGGCTGGAGGCTGGAGTTGAGAAATGGTTCTGGAGGCCTGACTGCCTCTGCATCCAGGCTGTCCTGTTTCAGCACTGCTCACCCCTGCACCCCGGCAGAGCCACAGGACTTCCCACACTGCATTGCTTAGAACAGCAAATGGCCCAGGGAAGTGTGTGCCTCAGGCTGTGTTATGTGGGTTACTCTGATACTCTCCCCACTCCCATACCATTGCATGTTACAGGGGAGGTGAAACCAGGGGTGGTTCAGAGGCTCCAACATTTCAGACATGGAGCTGTCATTTTTAGAACTGGTGGCTCACACCTGTGATCCCAGCACTTTGCGGGGCTGAGGTGGGAGGATTGCTTGAGCCCAGGAGCTCGAGACCAGCCTGGGCAATGCAGAGGGATCTCATCTCTACAAAATAAAAAAATAAATTAGCGAGACATGGTGGTGCATGCCTATAGTCCCAGCTACCCAGGAGGTGGGAGGATGGTGCCACTGTACTCTATCCTGGGCATCAGAGCAAGACCCCATCGCCCCCCCCCCCCAAAAAAGGAAAAAAGAAACCCATTTGCCTATTTTGACACTGTCATGAATTTGTACTGCTTAGGTGGTCTCAGCACTCTAAATGGTGGAATTTTATTTAAAGTAGTTTCATGTCGGTAGTGCCCCAAGATAACTACTACAAGCAAAAACATGTTTTATTAAGAGGAAGATAGAGGCTGGGTGCAGTGGCTCATGCCTGTAATCCCAACACTTTGGGAGGCTAAGGCGGGCGGATCACTCAAGATCAGGCATTCGAGAACAGCCTGGCCAACATGACGAAATCCCGTCTCTACTAAAAATACAAAATTAGCGGGGTGTGGTGGCTCATGCCTGTGATCGCAGCTATTTGGGAGGCTGAGGGAGGAGAATCACTTGAACCGGGGAGGCAGAGGTTGCAGTGAGCCGAGATTGTACTGCCGCACTCCAGCCTGGGCGACAGAGCAAGACTCCGTCTCAAAAAAAAAAAAAAAAAAAAGAAGAAGAACACAGCTTTAATCCAGGCCTCAAGGAATTGTGAGACAAAATTTCAGGGAAAATAAGCAGTTCCCTGTCAACAACCCCAAAAATCATAAGAAAATAAGGCACCATGGGTGAAAACCAAGAGATGATGTAAACAGCAGAATCAGACCCACAAAGTATTCAGAATACAAACTTATCAAAAGTAAAATAACATGGTTTTTTTCTTTTTTGTTTTTTGTTTTGAGATAGAGTCTCACTCTGTTGCCCAGGCTGGAGTGCAGTGGCGCGATCTCGGCTCACTGCAACCTCTGCCTCCCGGGTTCAAGTGATTCTCCTGCCTCGGCCTCCTGAGTAGCTGGGACTACAGATACATGCCACCACACCCGGCTAATTTTTTGTATTTTTAGCAGAGATGGGGTTTCACTGTGTTAGCCAGGGTGGTCTCAATCTCCTGACCTCGTGATACGCCTGCCTCAGCCTCCTAAAGGGCTGGGATTACAGGCGCGAGCCCCCGTGCCCGGCCTGTTTTTTGATTTTTTTGAGACAGTGTCTTGCTCTGTCATCCAGGCTGGAGTGCAATGATGTGTTCATGTCTCATTGCAGCCTTGACCTCCTGGGCTCAAGCTATTCTCCCACCACAGCCTCCCAAGTAGCTAGGACTACAGCTGTGCACCACCATGCCTAGCTAATTTTTTTGTGTGTGGAGATAGGGTGTCACTATGTTGCCAGGCTGGTCTTGAACTCATGGACTCAATCCATCCTCCTACCTAGGCTTCCCCAAATGCTGGAATTAAGGCATGAACTACCACACCCAGCCTGTTTAATGTTTATTTTTTTATTTTTATTTTTATGTTTGAGACGGAGTCTTGCTCTGTCGCCCAGGCTGGAGTGCAGTGGCACGATCTCAGCTCACTGCAAGCTCTGCCTCCCGGGTTCACGCCATTCTCCTGCCTCAACCTCCTGAGTAGCTGGGACTACAGGCGCCTGCCAACATGCCTGGCTATTTTTTTGTATTTTTAGTAGAGACGAGGTTTCACCATGTTGACCAGGATGGTCTCGATCTCTTGACCTCGTGATCCACCTGCCTTGGCCTCCCAAAGTGCTGGGATTACAGGCGTGAGCCACTGCGCCTGGCCTGTTTAATGTTTAAAGAAATAAAAAAAACAAGCCAGGTGTGGTGGTGGCTCACACCTGTAATCCCAGCACTTTGGGAGGCCTAGGTGGGTTTGGAGCAAGCCCCCCACAGTCTGGCCATAAACTGGCCCCAAAACTGGCCATAAGCAAAATCTCTGCAGCACTGTAACATGCCCATAATGGCCCTAATGCCCACGCTGGAAGGTTGTGGGTTTACGGGAATGACGGCAAGGAACACCTGGCCCGCCCAGGGTGGAAAACCCCTTAAAGGCATTCTTAAGCCACAAACAAAAGCATGAGTGATCTGTGTCTTAAGGGCGTGTTCCTGCTGCAATTAATTCGGCACATCCCTTCGTTTCCCATAAGGGATACTTTTAGTTAATTCAACATCTATAGAAACAATGCTAATGACTGGTTTGCTGTTAATAAATACGTGGATAAATCTCTGTTCCGGGCTCTCAGCTCTGAAGGCTGTGAGACCCCTGATTTCCCACTTCACACCTCTATATTTCTCTGTGTGTCTTTTAATTCCTCTAGTGCTGCTGGGTTAGGGTCTCCCTGACTGAGCTGGTCTCGGCAAGTGGCTTCTATTCCTGGGGGCTCGAATCCAGGTCAAAGGGTCGCAGGAGCGACGGTTGGAATGGAAAACTAGCTGGAGGACACCTGAGTACTCTTAAAGCAATCCCCGTGGTGAGTAAGAAGGGGAGTCCGGAAGCGTCAGGGTAACAATGGGATGGGTATGGGGTCTGGTTCGTTTCACCTTAGAACTTTTTCACACTGATAACGAGGAGGAACAACAGTATAGCGAAGTAACAGAAGAGGTTACAGAGCATGTTTATTTGCCAGCTGAAGCTAAAGCGGCAAAGGAAGGAGAGTTTCATCCCTACCCTTCTGCATCCCCTCATTATTATTTTGAAGAAAATGACTCCCCAGATCTTTCTTTTCCGGAGGACACTGGGCGAAAAGTAGTTGCCCCAGTGACTGTTCGAGCAGCGCCTTGAGCGACGTCTCTTAGTTCTATTCAGGCAGGAATTCAGCAAGCTAGACAAGAGGGTGATTTAGAGGCTTGGCAGTTCCCTGTTAGAATACACCCCCCAGATCAACAGGGAAGTATTACAGCTACATTTGAGCCTTTTCCTTTTAAATTACTCAGAGAATTAAAACAAGCAATAAATGAGTATGGACCAGGTTCTCCTTTAGTAATTGGACTGTTAAAGAATGTTACTGTTTCCAGTCAGATGATTCCTACTGACTGGGACGCTCTTACTTGAGCTTGTGTAACTCCTGCTCAGTTCTTACAATTTAAAACTTGGTGGGCAGATGAAGCTTCCATTCAGGTTGCTCGCAATGCCCAGGTCCAACCTCAAATTAATAGGACTGCAGACCAACTTTCGGGGGTTGGCGGCTGGGCTGGTTTCGATGCACAAGTGGTCATGCAGGATGATGCCATGGAACAGCTTAGAGCAGTGTGCATTAGAGCTTGGGAAAAAATCACTTCAGGTGGGGAACAATACCCTTCCTTTAGTGCTATAGAGCAGGGACCAAGGGAACCATAGGTTGATTTTATAGCTCGGTTACAGGAGTCTCTTAAAAAGATGATTGCAGATTCGGCTGCTCAGGATACAGTGTTGCAGTTATTAGCTTTCGACAATGCTAATCCCGATGGCCAGGCTGCTCTGCGACCTATCAGAGGGAAAGCACATTTAGTTTATTATATCAAAGCCTATGATGGTATCGGAGGTAATCTGCGTAAAGCTACCTTGTTGGCAATGGCAATGGCAGGACTGAGAGTGGATAAAGGAAATACTCCATTTCCTGGAGCTTGTTTTAACTGTGGGAAGCGTGGTCATACTAAAAAAGAATGTAGAAAAAATCAGCGAGTCAGGCCACCAGATAGGGGAAAAAAGAAAACTGCTGATCCTGAAATATGTCCAAAATGTAAAAAAGGAAAACACTGGGCTAGTCAGTGTCACTCTAAGTTGGATAAAGAAGGGAACCCAATTTCAGGAAACGCCATGAGGGGCCCGTCCCGGGCCCCGCTCTAAACCGGGGCGTTTCTGGCTCAGGCCATTCCCTCACCCCTGTACAATGTCTGTCCCCTGCCACAGCCGGTAGTGCTGCAGTAGATTTATGCTGCACAAAAGCTGTGAGCCTTCTGCCTGCGGAACCCCGGCAAAGGGTCCCAACAGGAGTCTGTGGACCCTTGCCAGTGGGTACAATAGGATTACTTTTAGGAAGGTCTAGTGTAAGTTTAAAAGGTATACAAATACATACAGGAGTCATTGATTCAGATTACAGTGGGGAAATCCAAATTGTTACATCTACTTCTGTTCTCTGGAAAGCAGAGCCAGGAGAGCGCATAGCACAGCTCCTGGTTGTGCCGTATGTGGGAATGGGAAAAAGTGAAATTAAACGAACAGGAGAATTTGGAAGCACAAATAAACAAGGCAAAGCAGCTTATTGGGTAAATCAAATTACTGATAAACGTCCTACCTGTGAAATAACTATTCAAGAAAAGAAATTTAAAGGTTTGGTAGATACAAGAACGGACATTTCACTCATTTCTGTACAGCACTGGCTGTCTGCGTGGCCAATTCAACCCGCTCAATTTAACATAGTTGGAGTTGGTAAAGCTGCTGAAGTATATCAAAGTAGTTATATATTGCATTGTGAGGGGCCCGATGGACAACCTGGGACTATTCAACCAATTATAACTTCTGTACCTATAAATTTATGGGGAAGAGATGTATTACAACAATGGGGAGCACAAGTTCTAATTCCAGAACAATCATACAGCCCTCAAAGTCAGCATACAATGCATGAAATGGGGTATGTCCCTGGTATGGGACTAGAAAAAGATTTGCAAGGTTTGAAAGAACCACTTCAAGCGGAAAAACAAAGTTCCCAGAAAAACAAAGTTCCTGCTAAAGATTAGGAAAAAATTTTTGGTGGCAGCCATTGTTAAGCCTCCAGAACCTATACCTTTAAAATGGTTAACAGATAAGCCAATTTGGATAGCACATTGGCCACTAAGTAAAGAAAAACTGGAGGTTTTAGAGAAATTAGTTGCTGAACAATTAGAAAATGGGCACATAACTCCAACATTTTCTCCTTGGAATTCTCCAGTTTTCATAATTAAGAAAAAATCAGGTAAATGGAGAATGTTAACTGACTTAAGAGCCATCAGTTCAGTTATACAACCTATGGGAGCATTACAGCCAGGATTGCCTTCTCCTGCTATAATTCCAAAAAATTGGCCTTTTAATAGTCATAGATTTAAAAGACTGTTTCTTTACTATACCTTTAGCTGAGCAAGACTGCGAACAGTTTGCATTTACAATTCCTGCATTAAACAACCTGCAGCCTGCTAAGTGTTATCATTGAAAAGTGTTGCCACAGTGCATGCCAAACAGCCCAACAATTTGCCAGACATATGTGGGGCAAGCAATTGAACCTACCCGTAAAAAATTTCCACAGTGTTACATTATTCACTGTCAACTAAAAACATTAAATGATTTTCAAAAATTACTAGGGGATATTAATTGGATACGACCTGCTCTAGGCATTCCTACCTATGCCAGGAGTAATCTGTTTTCTATCCTTGGAGGAAATCCTAGTCTCACTAGCCCTCGGCAATTAGCAAAAGAGGCTGAGGCAGAGTTACAACTGATTGAGAAGCAAATCCATAAAGCTCAGATAAATAGAATAGATCCAGAGAAGACTCTAGATTTGCTAATCTTTTCAACTCAGCATTCACCTACTGGTGTTATTGTCCAAGAACAGGACTTAGTAGGGTGGCTTTTTCTTCCACATACTAATTCACAGACTCCAACTCCTTATTTAGATCAAATCGCTACTATGATAGGGATTGGGAGAACTCGGATTGTTAAATTACATGGATATGATCCTGGAAAAATTACTGTCCCTCTCACAAAGGCACAAATACAGCAAGCTTTTATAAATAGTCTTACTTGGCAAACCCATTTAGCTGACTTTGTGGGTATTCTCGATAATCATTTTCCTAAAATGAAGCTATTTCAGTTTTTAAAATTCACTAATTGGATTCTCCCTAAAATAACTAAATTTAAACCAATTGAAGGTGCTGAGAATGTTTTTACAGATGGGTCTAGTAATGGTAAAGCTTCTTATTCTGGCTCAAAAAGTAAAGTTTTTCAGACGTCCTGTACTCAGCTCAAAAAGCGGAGCTTGTAGCGGTAATTGAGGTATTGACTGCTTTTGATATGCCTATTAATGGGATTTCTGATTCTTCATATGTGGTTCATTCCACACAGTTAATTGAAAATGCTCAGTTATGATTTCATACCGATGAACAACTGATGATAAAAACAAAAAAGGTGGAAAAATAGGGATTACAGAACAGCCCATACACAATTGAATCTAGCATTATTTGGTGAAGAGATCCAATAACAAAAAGTTGGGAAATAGGTAAAATAATAATTTGGGGTAGAGGTTATGCTTGCGTTTCTCCAGGCCAAAATCAACAGCCGATTTGGATACCTTCAAGACACCTGAAACCTTATCATGAGCCAGATGCCAAGGAAGAGACTCTGGGAGGATCCAGAGGACCCCCTGGTTGCAGCCACGTAGAGACTGACGCTGAGGAGGACTCCAACTATCATGAGCAACACCCGTCGAACACAGCCACCCCGCTAAGAACAGATCAAGAAGCTGTCACAGATGGCGGAAGAAAACCTGAGGAAAGCGGGACAACCAGTCACAATGAATAATTTAATGGTAGCTATGATAGCAGTTATCACCACTGCCGTGAGTATTCCTTCAATAAGGGCTGGTAATAATGCCTGGATGCAATCATTCTATGACACAGTTACACATGCTTTCTGATCTCAGTATTTACCATAATAAATCGGCTCCTATAATTGAGGCATACCACCCTCAAAAACCTATTTGTAAACAGGATTGGACCCAGTTAGAAAAAATGAACGTACTTATTTAGGAAGATTGCTTTGCAGAATAGGCAGAGATGCTGCACAACGATTCCTATGGAATCATTACTAATTGGTCCCCCAAGGGGATGTTTAGCTTGAATTGCACCTCTCAGTCTGCATGCCACGGTCACACTATGTTCAGATGATCTGAACAAAACAGTCAGATGGTAGAAATGTTAAGTACGGCAAAAGTTCCTATTATCTGGAACCATGGCGGTATAGTGGCACCTCAACCTCAAATAATATGGCCCGCTCTAGGAGCTAAACATAAGGATTTGTAAAAACTATTAAATGCTCTTAATAAGATCAAAATTTGGGAAAGAATAAAAGAGTATCTAGAAGGACACTCTACAAACTTGTTTTTGGATATAGCAAAATTAAAAGAACAAATATGTAAAGCATCCCGGGCAACCTGACCTTAATGCCAGGAACCAGAGTGCTTAAAGGAGCTGCAGAAAAATTAGCAGCTAGTAACCCATTTAAATGGGTAAAAACACTTGGAAGCTCTGTGATTTCAATGATGACTATGCTTTTTAATCTGTTGTTTGCCTTTGTATAGTCTGCAGATGCGGATCCCGACTCCTGCGAGAGTCTCTTTGCAAATCGAAGAAGGGAGACATGTTGGGAGCAAGCCCCCCAGAGTCTGGCCATAAACTGGCCCCAAAACTGGCCATAAGCAAAACCTCTGCAGCACTAAAACATGTCCATAATGGCCCTAACGCCCAATCTGGAAGGTTGTGGGTTTATGGGAATGAGAGCAAGGAACACCTGGCCTGCCCAGGGCGGAAAACCGCTTAAAGGCATTCTTAAGCCACAAACAAAAGCATGAGCGATCTGTGTCTTACGGGTGTGTTCCTGCTGCAATTAATTCAGCCCATCCCTTTGTTTCCCATAAGGGATACTTTTAGTTAATTTAATATCTATAGAAACAATGCTAATGACTGGTTTGCTGTTAAATGAAGGGGTGGGTTGCCCCTCCACACCTGTGGGTGTTTCTCGTTAGGTGGAACGAGAGACTTGGAAAAGAGACACAGAGACAAAGTATAGAGAAAGAAAAGTGGGCCCAGGGGACCAGCATTCAGCATACAGAGGATCCACACTGGCACCGGCCTCTGAGTTCCCTTAGTATTTATTGATCATTATCGAGCATGGCAGGATAATAGGATAATAGTGGAGAGAAGGTCAGAAGGTAAACACATGAACAAAGGTCTCTGCATCATAAACAAGGTAAAGAATTAAGTGCTGTGCTTTAGATATGTATACACATAAACATCTCAATGCCTTAAAGAGCAGTATTGCTGCCCGCATGTCATACCTACAGCCCTAAGGCGGTTTTCCCCTATCTCAGTAGATGGAAGTATATTCCATGTAAAGTAAATCGGCTTTACACCCAGACATTCCATTGCCCAGAGACGAGCAGGAGACAGAAGCCTTCCTCTTATCTCAACTGCAAAGAGGTGTTCCTTCCTCTTTTACTAATCCTCCTCAGCACAGACCCTTTATGGGTGTCGGGCTGGGGGATGGTCAGGTCTTTCCCTTCCCACGAGGCCATATTTCAGACTATCACATGGGGAGAAACCTTGGACAATACCTGGCTTTCCTAGGCAGAGGTCCCTGCGGCCTTTGCAGTATTTTGCGTCTCTGGGTACTTGAGATTAGGGAGTGGTTTGAGATTAGGGAGTGGTGATGACTCTTAAGGAGCATGCTGCCTTCAAGCATTTGTTTAACAAAGCACATCTTGCACAGCCCTTAATCCATTTAACCCTGAGTTGACACAGCACATGTTTCAGGGAGCACAGGGTTGGGGGTAAGGTTACAGATTAACGGCATCTCAAGGCAGAAGAATTTTTCTTAATACAGAACAAAATGGAGTCTCCTATGTCTACTTCTTTCTACACAGACACAGTAACAATCTGATCTCTCTTTTCCCCACAGTTAATAAATATGTGGGTAAATCTCTGTTGGGGGCTCTCAGCTCTGAAGGCTGTGAGACCCCTGATTTTCTACTTCACACCTCTATATTTTTGTGTGTGTGTCTTTAATTCCTCTAGCGCTGCTGAGTTAGTGACCGAGCTGGTCTCGGCAGAGGTGGGCGGGTCTTTTGAGTTCAGGAGTTCAAGAGCAGCCTGGCCAACATGGTGAAACCCCTTCTCTACTAAAAATATGAAAATTATCCGGGCATGGTGGTGTGCCTCTGTACTTTCAGCTACTCAGGAAGCTGAGGCACAAGAATTGCTGGAACATGGGAGGTGGAGGCTGCAGTGAGCTGAGATCATGCCACTGCACTCCAGCCCAGGCAATAGAGTAAGACTCTGTCTCAAAACAAAAAGAGTTTTAGGCCAGGTGTGGTGGCTCACGCCTGTAATCCCAGCACTTTGGGAGGCTGAGGTGGGCAGATCACCTGAGGTCAGGAGTTCGAGACCAGTCTGGCCAACATGGCGAAACCCCATCTCTCTCTACTAAAAATACAAAATTTAGCCAGGTGTGGTGGTGGGTGCCTGTAATCACAGCTGCTTGGGAGGCTGAGGCAGGAGAATTGGTTGAACCCAGGAGGCAGAGGTTACAGTGAGCAGAGATCGTGCCACTGCATTCCAGCCGGGGTAAGAGAGCGAGACTCTGCCTCAAAAAAAGAAGGCTTAGTGTGCAACTCATCAGAGTTGCACAGGGCAGAGAAAGAATGGGAAAAAAACAATTTCTAGAAAACTTTTCGAATTTTCTGATCAACACCAAATATTCCAAATAGGAAAAATACAAAAAAATCCATACCTATATGTGGCATAATATGATTGTAGAGCACCAAAGTAAAAGATCTTATTTTTTATTAAAATTAAAAAAAAATTAAAATAGAGGGTCTCACTATGCTGCCCAGGCTGGTCTTGAACTCCTGGCTTCAAGCTATCCTCCCACCATGGCATCCTAAAGTGCTGGGATTGCAGGCATGAGCTGCTGCATCTGGCCCAAAGTAAAAGATCTTAGAAGCGGCCAGAAAAAATAGATTTGGGCTGGGCATGAATAGATTGATCACCAAAAAGGTGGCAGACTAACTTCTCGACAGAATCCACAGAAGCCAGAAGGCAGTGGAACATTAGCTTTGATGTACTAAAATAAAATACCACGCTAGGCTCCTACATACAGTGAAAATGTTTTGAGAATGAGAATTATAATTTTTTGGCAAACAAAACTAAAGGAGTTTACAACTAAGAAACTCTTTTGTGAGACAGCCTTGCTCTGTTGCCCAGGCTGGAGTGCAGTGACGAAATCTCAGCTCACTGCAACCTCGGCCTCCCGGGTTCAGGCAATTCTTGTGTCTCAGCCTTCCAAGTAGCTGGGATTACAGATGTGCGCCACCAGGCCCAGCTACTTTTTATATTTTTAGTGGAGATGGGGTTTCACTGTGTTGGCCAGGCTGGTCTCAAACTCCTGACTTCAAGTGATCTGCCCGCCTTGGCCTGCTAAAGTGCTGGGATTACAGGCATGAGCGACTGTGCCTCTCCAGTCCCTGTGTTTTTTTTTGTTTTTGGAGGTTTTATTTGTTTGTTTTTAGAGACACTTTCACTGTGTTGCCCAGGCCTGTCTGTTGGCCTCAAGTGATCCTCCTGCCTTGGATCTCCCAAAGTGCTGGGATTACAGGTGTGAACCACTGTGCTCAGCCCATTTTTTATTTGTTTCTTGAAGGAAGGTAGCAGTATTAATTAATTTTGGACTTTGCTCACTAAAGTTTGAATGTTAAGAATAGATGTATACAGTCTGGATGCAGTGGTGCATGCTTGTAATTTTAGCACTTTGGGAGGCTGAAGCGGGAGGATCGCTTGGGCTCAAGAGTTTGAGACCAGCCTGGGCAACATGGTGAAACCTTGTCTCTACAAAAAAATTTTAAAAAATTAGCCAGACATGATGGCATGCACCTATAATCCCAGCTACTTGGGAGGCTGAGGTGGGAGGATTGCTTGAGTCCAGGGAGGTCGAGGCTGCAGTGAGCCATGATCACACCACTGCACTCCAGCCTGGGTGACAGAGTGATACTGTCTCAAAAAAAAAAAAAAAAAAAAAAAGAAAGAAAAAAGTAGATATATATGAGACTCACTTGGGCAACATATGGAGACCTAGTCTCCACAAAAAAATTTAAAAAATTAGCTAAGTATGGTGGCATGCACCTGTGGTCCCAACTACTTGGGAGGGTGAGGCAGGAGAATTGCTTGAGACCAGGATGATCCCTTGATCCTGGCAGGGGGTGGAGTTGAGGCCGCATTCCAACCTGGGCAACAGAGTGAGACCCTGTCTCAAAAGATAAATAAAAAAGAATAGACATATAATATGTAACTTCCAAACAAATGAAAGGGAAATAAAGGAGTACGAGAAGAAAGGCAAATTCAATGATCCAAAACAAAGTGAGAAAAGAGAAAAACAAAATAAAAATGAAAAAGGAGAGGTTCTGCTTGTAATAGGCGAAGTAGCTCCTATCAGATCAACCTTCATACCGGTAACAATTATGAGCTCTGAACAAAAACAAACAAAAAACCTCCTGAAGACTCTGGAAAGAGAGCAAAAACAGGGAGAACCTAAAGGGAAACCGACAGTTACAAGAAAATAAATAGCTACCGGGTGCAAAGGATATTTAAAATCTCACAAACATGATAATTGAACCAAAGAAGTCAGAAGAAAGGAGTCTGTGTTTTATAATTCCATTTATATGAAGTATGAAAACAGGCAAACCATATTAAAAGTCAGGATAGCTGTTCCCCTGACGAGGAGGATAGCGATTGGAAGTAGGACATGAGGAGGATTTCTGGGGTCCTGGTAATGCTCTATTTCTGGATCTGGGTGCTGGTTTCATGGGTGTGCTCACTTGGTGAAAATTCATAAAAATAGACATGACATATGCAATTTTTTGCTTCAGTACAAACTTAAAAATCAAAAGGGAGCAGAGACAAGATGGACAGGCAGGCAGGGCAGACTGTGAAGGGGCCTCAATGCCAGACTAAGGAGCTTGACGTGACCCTGGCAGCAGTGGAGGACGCTGAAGGTGTTAAGAGGGGAAATGAGTTGTCAGGGAAGCTGCCTCTCTGCCTAATGCGGGTGGCTAGGAGAGGGGAACACCTGCCCTGTGGGACATTATTTACAGGACTGGCCAGAATCTGGGCTTTCAATGACGAAGATCTGAGCTAGGATGGAGGGTGTGAGGTTGGAGGCCAAGGATTTGGAGGTAAAATTGGAAGGACTTGGGAGTTTACATGCAGGAGGCCAGAGAGGAAGAGGGAGGAGTCAAAAACGATCATTGGAAGAGGCTTTTCACTGGAGATAAAGAGTGAGGGAGGGGACGCTGGGGAAAGAAGTAAGTTTGAGGGAAGAATTTGTTTTTTTTTTTTTAATCAGGGTCTTGCTCTGTTGCCCAGGCTGTAGTGCAGTGGCACCATCTTGGCTCACTGTAGCTCGACCTCTCAGATGCTGGTGATTCCCCCCACCTCAGCCTGCTAAGTAGCTGGGACTACAGGCGCATGCCACCATACCTGGTTGATATTTTTTAATTTTTATTTTTAGTAGAGATGAAGTCTCACTATGTTGCCCAGGCTGGTCTTGAAATCCTGGGCTCAGGTGATCCTCCTGCCTCGGTCTCCCAAATTGCTGGGATTACAGCATGAGCCACTGCACCCAGCCAAAGGAAGGATTTTTGCTGGGGAAGGGGCAAGTGGAGGAGGAATCCTCGATGACACAAGGCCTCTGAAGCAGCAGAAGGAGACTGGGGGTGCAGGGGACCCCCTGTCCAGATTTGGACAGGAGAGGAGAGAAGCAGAAAAAGTGAGATCCTAGGTGGACTGGAGGGAATTCAGGAGAGCCCATCAGCTGCTCACTAATGTGAAGTCACAGTCAAGTGTGGGGACTGAGTCGGATGAGGCTGACTTCTAGGCAGCTTGTCTGACAACAGGTTATGCAGTGTATCTAAGGACATCCTGACCTGGGGGAACAGGAAGATGGGAAGATTCCATTATCATTTTGTAAATGGTGCCCAGTGAAGTTTCTATTAGTATCTAGTCTCCAATCATCTTAATTAGCTGAGCTATTGCTCATCATCAAAAGGATTTTCTTTAGAAAGATAGCCGTAGAGTCTTGCTTTTCTTATCAAAAGATCTAGATGACACTGCTGTGCCCCGGCCTGCCCCACCCTCATTCCTGCCCTGCTCCACGCACTTATCTGTGCCTGGAACAGGAGTTAGGGTGGAGTAGGAAAAAGATCAAGGATTTGAGTGCACAAGGACAGGCAGGCATCCTAGCTCCTGACCTTGGGCCAATATTTTCTCGCTATGGGTCTCAGTTGCCTCATCACAGACCACCTGATTTCAAAGCCCTTGTCACCCTGAAATACACAGAGGTCCAAGGTCATATGGTGAGGGGTTTTTATGGGAAGACTTGAATTCTGGATGAGAAACTCAGTGTTTATTAGCAGTGAAGTCCTTTCCGGGAGGCTGAAGAGAGTCTCAGGGCAGGTAGTTCTTTGAAAAGACCCCATCTCTTCTCCCCACTATATAGGTGGGAGCAGGGGTCTCATTGGCTGAGGGACTTCTGGGTCATGGTGACCTCATAAAGCCCGTAACACTGGCCTGGGCTGGGGAAGCCTAGGTAAGCTGAGGGGCAGCTCTGGGAAAGTCCTAGGGGTGGGGGCAGTCTCCACAGCCTCCCACAAGGGAGTTACCACCTTCCCGCACTTCTGGGTACAAGTCTCCTGCTCTGGCTGTATTCCACAGTTAGAACTTCATATCTTTGGCTTAGAGCTGGATTTTCTGTTACCATGTGGATGCTCCAGGTGAAGGTAACACATTGAACTTTACATGAGCAGCCCAAGGCTCACAGAAAGTTTAGGCTCTCAGGTCCTGACAGTGTAGTGGCTGGGAGTTGGGGGGAGGTGAGGGGAAGGGAGTGAAAAGATGCAGGGAGGGAATGCCATAAATCTGGGGAAAGAAGAGTCTTGGAGCCTGGAAACCATACTTTGTCTTTTTTCCAAGTCTCCCCAGCCTGCCCTCACCCAGGGGAGGAAGGGATGGTGGGGATGAACATTTATTGAGGACTTGCTGTGGGCCAGGCCCTGCGATCATCACTTTATGTGGGCTATCTCATCTGGAATATTAAGATAGAGGCTTAGAGTCATGAGGGCATCTGTCCAGGTCCACACAGCTGGTGAGAGAGAAGGTTTTGAATTCAGGTCTGCCTGACTCCAAAGCCTTGGATGTTGGCATTATAGCTGGGTATCAGGAAAGTTGCCTTGTTTTCACTGAACTTTTCCTTTAGGATAAGGACCTAAAAGTGGCAGAGGGAATGGGGAATAAGAAACAGGAAGACATGGTTCCACTGAGTAATTCATGTCTTGGGAATCTCTATGGTATTATAGGGAAAACTGTGGGTTGAAGAAACATGGATTTGAATCCAGCCTCTACCACTTGCTTGGGAATTAGTAGAAATCAATTTATTTTATTTTTTGAGACAGAGTCTCTCTCTGTCACCCAGACTGTAGTGCAGTGACATGAACACAGCTCACTGCAGCCTCAACCTCCCCGGCTCCAGTGACCCTCCCACCTCAGCCTCCCAAGTAGCTGGGACTACAGGTGCACACATCATGCCTGGCTAATTTTTGTATTTTTTGTAGTGACGCGGTTTTGCCATGTTGTTCAGGCTGGCCTTGAACTCCTGAGCTCAAGGAATCCTCTTGCCTCAGCTTCCCAAAATGCTGGGATTATAGGCGTGAGCCATTGTGCCTGGCCAGAAATAACTAGATTCCTGCACAGTCTGAACTAACATGCCAATGAATGAGATGATGACATCTTTCTTGAAGAGTTGTCATTCATTCATTCATTCATCCTTCCCTCACTCCGTGAATGTTTTCTGAACCTTCCCTGTGTGCCATGTGCTATGTGCTGGGAAAATAGGGGTAACAAGATAGCCAGACACTCACCAAACTCATTTTCAGAGTAGATGCATATAAGTAAACAGACTGATCCTCTGATACAGAGTGATCACATGAGGAGGGTGCCTCACCCACATTTGGGGATTCCAGGAAGACTTCCTGGGGGAAGGGACATCTAATCTAAGCTGGTGTCTGAAATGTGACTAGACTAGATGTTAGCCAGAGGGAGCAATTGAAGTTTAGGTGAATAGTCTTGGGGAAGTTTATAGGAAGAGGAAAGAGTATTTGCAAAGGTCCCAAGGCAAGAGGGAGGCCAAAACATTGAGGATCCTGGAAGAAGTTGAGAGTGGTTCAAACGTGGTGCAAGGCCAGGGAAGGGAATGAATCTAGCTGGAGAGATGGAGGGGCTAGGCCTGTGGGCTGAGGACTCTGACAGAAGAAACACAGATATCAGACTTCAGATTAGGGTGTCTTCACTCCTGGCCTGTCCACCAGTCATGCAAAAGTCGCTTAGGAGAGGGGAGGTAAGGGAAAGCTTCATGAAAGAGTGATTCCTGGATCCCTTCAGAACTACAAAGCAGAGTCTCTGAGAGTGAGGCTTGGGAATCTATCTTTTAAAAAATATAAGCTACACCCACACCCCAACATTTGAACACCTACAAGAAGTCACATAAGGGTTACAAGAGGTGAATGTCATGGTTAGACTTGCATGCATTTTTATTTCATCTGAGAATGTCTTTATTTCCCTTTCATTCCTCAAGTATAATTTTGCCTATTATAGAATGTGTGGTTGAGAATTTTCTTTCAACTCTTGAAAAATATGTGCCACTTCCTTTTGGCCTCCATAGTTTCAGATGAGAAATATGCTGTTATTCAAATTGGTGTTCCCCTATAGGTAAGGCTCTCAGGTTGCTTTTAAGATTTTTTTTTAAAGTCTTTATTCTTCAGAAGTTTAATCATGATGTGTTTTGGCATGGATTCCTTTAGATTTATCCCATTTGAAGTTTCAGCAGTTTTCTGGATCTGTATATTTATGTTTTTTACTAAATTTGGGGAGTTTTCAGTCATGACTTGCTAGTAATGCTTTTTCAGCACTCTCTTTTCTCCTTCTGGAACTCTGATGATATAAACATTATTTTGTTATTGTTCCACAGATTCCTGAGGTTCTGGTTTTTTTTGGGGGGTGGGGAGGGGGGTCTATTTTCTCTTTGTTGTTTAGACCTTCCTTCCTTCCCTCCCTCCCTCCCCTGCTCTCCCTCTCTTTCTTTCTCTTCTCTTCCCCTTCCCTTCCCTTCCCTTTCTTTCTTTCCTGTCTTGCTCTGTCACCAAGACTGGAGTGTAGTGGCATGATTTTGGCTCACTGCAACCTCCACCTCCTGGGTTCAAGCAATTCTCTGGCTTCAGCCTCATGAGTAGCTGGGATTAGAGGTGCCCACCACCATGCCTGGATAATTTTTGTATTTTTAGTAGAGATAGGGTTTCACCATGTTGGCCAGGCTAGTCTCAAGCTCCTAACCTCAGGTGATCTGCCTGACTCAGCCTCCCAAAGTGCTGGGATTACATACATGAGCCACTGTGCCTGGCCGATTTTTCTTTCTTCTGTTTTTTAATGTAAAAAAAAAAAAATAGAAATGAGGTCCCACTGTGTTGCCCAGGCTGGTCTAGAGCTCCTGGGCTCAAGTGATCCTCGGCCTCCCAAAGTGCTGGGCTTATAGGCATCAGCCACCATGTCCAGCCAAATAACTTTTTTTTTTTTTTTTTCTGAGATGGAGTCGCACTCTGTCATCCAGGCTGGTGCCTGGAGTACGGTGGTGCAATCTCAGCTCACTGCAACCTTTGCCTCCCAGATTCAAGCAATTCTCATGCCTCAGCCTCCCTAGTAGCTGGGACTACAGGCACCTGTCACCATACCTGGCTAATTTTTGAATTTTTAGTAGAGACGGGGTTTCACCATGTTAGCCAAGCTGGTCTTGAACTCCTGGCATCAAAAGATCTGCTTGCTTCGGCCTCCCAAAGTGCTGAGATTACATGCATGAGCCACCATGCCCAGCCAAAGCATTTTTATGATGACTGCTTTGAAATCCTTGTCAAAAATTCCAACATCTGATTCATCTCAGTGTTAATGTTGGTTGGTTGTCTTAAGATGAGATTTTCCTAGTTTTTGGTATGATGAGTGATTTTTACTGCATCTTTGACATTTTAGGTATTACATTAAGATTTTTTTTTTCTTTTTTCTGAGACAGTCTTGCTCTGTCACCCAAACTGGAGTGCAGTGGTAGTGGTGCAATCTTGGCTCACTGCAACCTCCACCTCCCAGGTTCAAGTGATTCTCCTGCCCAAGCCTCCTGAGTAGCTGGGATTACAGGTATGCACCACCATGTCCAGCCAATTTTTTGTATTTTTAGTAGAGACAGGGTTTCACCATGTTGGCCAGGCTGGTCTTGAACTTCTGACCTCAAGTGATCTGCCTGCCTTGGCTTCCCAAAGTGCTGGGATTACAGGTGTGAGCCACCGTGTTAAGGTTTAGTTTGTAGGTTCTGGCCTACTTTTGTGGACTGTAGCTCCAATGATATTTCTTTTCTTTTCTTTCTTTCTTTCTTTTTTTTTTTTTTTGAGACAAACTCTCTCCCTGTTGTCCGGGCTGGAGTGCAACAGCAAAATCTTGGCTCACCGCAGGCTTGCCTCCCGGGCTCAAGCAATTCTCCTGCCTCAGCCTCCCGAGTAAGGTAGGACTACAGGCGCACACCACCACACCTGGCTAATTTTTGTATTTTCTGTAGGGATGGGATTTTGCTATGTTGCCCAGGCTGGTCTTGAACTCCTGAGCTCAAATGATCCACCCACCTCTGCTTCCCAAAGTGCTGGGATACAGGCATGAGCCACCGCGTGCAGCCAAAAGTTATTTTAAAGTAGAGAAGTTCTTGGCACTGTTCCGTACTCTGACAGTCCTGGCACAGGCCCGGTCTCCAGTGATATTTATGACTCCTCATTTGCTTCATTTTTCTGGTATTGCCGGGGCTCCTGTTTATTCCTGCTGGTGCTGCCTACAGGGGTAGAAGGCATTTCCCTGGGCCACTTGTTATCACTGGAGTGGGTGGGGGAGGCCAGAAGATGTAGGGTCTGGTAAAATGTCTGATGCTGGGTGGAGGGCCCAGAGATCCAGGGTTCTGCTGACATTGCCACTGCAGGTTGGATTGGTCTGTCACTGCTCCAGGTATGGAGAAGGGATTGGGGCTCCCCACTGGGAGACCCTCTCTGTTGGGCTTCCTCTTTCCGGGTCTTTTTGGCTGGAGAAAGCAAGTTTTTCTTCTACTTTTGAGTGTGTGTTTATGCTGTCGGCAGATCTGTGTGTCAGGCTTCTGTGGTGCCCAGTTTGGGTTATGTGAGTGATGAAAAGAAAACTCCAGGGAACTCACCATAGTGTCAGCCTTCAAGTCCTGAGATGCCTAGTCAGTCACTGCCTTCTTTCCAGCCATCAGAATCCTTTTATGGTTGTCTGTTGAACTATTTCCAAAATATTTAGTTATTTTTAGAAGGGAAGAACAGAGAAAAGTGAATTGACAACCTTGTCTATCACATCCATTAAAAAAAAATGTGGTATAAGGCACCCAGCATAAAATTGACCATTAGTGACAATTACTGTGTTCATAAGGTTGTGTAACCATCATTACTATCAGAATATTTTTCTGGTCCAAAAGGAAACCCTATACCCATTAAGCAGTCACTTACCATTCCCTGCTTTCCCCTTCCCCTGGCAACCTCTCTCTGTCCTGCTTTAATCTACTGTCTCTGTAGATTTGACTATTCTGGATATTTTATATAAAGGGAGTCGTATAATATGTGGTCTTTTGTGACCAGCTACTTTCACCTAGCATAATGTCTTCAAAGTTTATCCATGTTTCACATGCATGAGTACTTCATTCCTTTTAGTGGCTGAATAATCCACTGTACGGACATACCATATATTGTTTATCCATTAATCAGTATGTGGCTATTTGGGTTGTTTCCACCTTTGGCTCTCATAAGCCCCAGCTCCTGGCTGACAGTGTCTTTTGAAGCAAAAAAGTTTTAAATATTGCTGATGTCCAATTTATCTATATTTTTCTTTTGTTGCTTATGTTTTTGGTGTCATGTCTAAGAAACCATTGCCAAATCCAAGATCATGAAGGTTTACTCCTATGTTTTCTTCCAAGAGTTTTATAGTTTTTGCTCTTACATGTAGGTCTTTAATGCATTTTGAGTTAATTTTTGTATACAATGTGGGATAGGAGGCTGGGTGCAGTGGATCTTGCCTGTAATCCCAGCACTTTGGAGAGGCTGAGGCAGGAGGATCACTTGAGGTCAGGAGTTTGAGACCAGCTTGGTCAACATGGTGAAACCCCGTCTCTACTTAAAAAAAAGGCTGGGCATGGTGGCTCACGCCTGTAATCCCAGCACCTTCGCAGGCCAAGGTGGGTGGATCACCTGAGGTCAGGAGTTCGAGACCAGCCTGACCAATATGATGAAACCCCGTCGCTACTAAAAATACAAAAATTAGCCGGGTGTGGTGGCATGCACCTGTAATCCCAGCTACTGGGGAGGCTGAAACAGGAGAATCACTTGAACCCAGGAGGCGGAGGTTGCAGTGAGCTGAGGTCGTGCCATTGCACTCCAGCCTGGGCAACAAGGGTGAAACTCTGTATTGAAAAAAAAAAAAAATTAGCTGGGTTTGGTGGTGGGCACCTGTAGCCCTAGCTACTTGAAAGGCTGAAGCAGGAGAATCGCTTGAACCTGGGAGGTGGAGGTTGCAGTGAGCCAAAATTGTGCCATTGCACTCTAGCCTGTGTGACAGAGTGAGACTCCATCTCAAAAAAAAAAAAAAAAAAAAAAAGAATGTGGGATAGGAGTTCAACTTCATTCTTTTGCATGTCAATATCCAGCTGTTCCACTGCCATTTGTTGAAACATTTGTTGAAAAGACTATTATTTTTGAACATACAATTTATTTAATTATTTTATTGTTATTATTTTTGAGATAGAGTCTTATTATGTTGCCCAGGCTGGTCTCGAACTCCTGGGCTCAAGTGATCCTCCCACTTCAGCCTCCCAAAGTGCTGAGATTATAGACGTGAGCCGCCATGCCCTGCTGAAGACACTATTCTTTCCCTATTAATGGAGGAGTTACCACCCTTGTCAAAAATCATTTGACCATATAGGCATGGATTTATTTCTGGACTTGCAATTCTATCCCATTAGTCTATATATTTATCCTTATGTCAGTACCACACTGTTGCATGCAATTTTATTTATTTATTTATTTATTTATTTATTTATTTATTTATTTTTTGAGACGGAGTTTCGCTCCTGTTGCCCAGGCTAGAGTGCAGTGGCGCAATCTCGGCTCACTGCAACCTCTGCCTCCCAGGTTCAAGCAACTCTCCTGCCTCAGCCTCCCAAGTAGCTGGGATTACAGACGGGTGCCACCATGCCTGGCTAATTTTTTGTATTTTAGTAAAGACAGGATTTCACCATGTTGGCCAGGCTGGTCTCGAACTCCTGACCTCAGATGATCCACCCAGCTCGGCCTCCCAGAGTGCTGGGATTACAGGTGTGAGCCACTGTGCCTGGTCTGCATGCAATTTTGAAGGAAGATCTCTATGGCTTACTTTGGAAAATGGTTTGTTGGAAGCTGGTCTAGATAAAGGGACCCCTGTTGAGCAAGCAATTCCAAGATCCAGCCTCAAAACAATGGGAACTGGAGTAGGGTCTGGTAGTCGTGATGAAGAAATGGGGAGAGATTTGAGAGCTGTTCTGGAGCCAGAATTAGCAGAACTTGGCCAAAATTGGGTGCAGCAAGTGAGAAAGAGAGCACTCAAGGAGGATGTTGTTTCTGGCTTGGATGATAGATGGTGCCAGTTCCTTGCAATGGAGGAGAATAGAAGAGTCCTATTTAGGGGAAAAATGGAGAGTCTGTTTTGGATGCTCTGGGTCTGAGGTGCTCCAATCTCAGCTGTTCTGTGTGTGCAAATGTGTGTGAGTGTATAGGTACTTGCACAAGTGTCTAACACATTCCAGGCCCTTACATCTGATAACAGTGTGTTCTCAATGATGAACTGGACAATCTATTGATAGTTCCACCCCTTGAAGGCTCTAGCAACCCTTGTCCAGGGCCTGGAAGGGTTAATTGAGGTGGAGAAGGGAGGATGGCAATTGGTTAATGATTCTCTCTGTCTTAGACAGCACTAGTTGTTTTATGGGTGTGCTCTGACCTTTCCATCTGGGGCTCCAGGATTGCAGGGCAAAGGCCAACAGGCAGTTTGTGGCTGTCAGCAGGGAGTAGTGAGCTCCTTTAGCTCCTGTAGATCCCACCCAAGCCCCTCAAGAGCCACGGCTCCTCCTAATGCACAGTGTCTGTTTGGTAGAGGGCAAGCCATGGGCTACCCCAGTCACTGCCAGGCAGCTCTGAAGACTTGCCTGTCTGTTGCAGGATGGAGGAGGAGGACTGGGGGTAGGTCAGCTGGGGTTGAGATCTGTGGCCTTCTGCCCAGTGACCTGGTATGGTGCATCTGCTGGGGTAGAGATGAAGTCTTTCTTCCTCAGCCCAAACAAGTTAGGTCTTTGAAGATCTTAATCACTGCCTCGTAGGCTGCAACAAGCCATATTTTCCAGGTTAAAAATGCCTCCCTTTGGTGACTATGGTCCTGTGTGTGTGCATGTGGCACGTTTACACACGGGTGGCAGAGATCATTAAGGGAAGATTCACGCTCCTCCTTAAGTAAGAAGAGACAAAATTATGGACATGAAATTAAGTACAGGGCTTTGGAAAGGGACTGTGAAATCAAGGAGCAATCAAATTTTACATTCAGGGTAAAATTGCCTCTGGTGCTGATGGTAAGTGAGCATTTCTTGCTTCCAAGGCAGATGCAAAGCTGTGCAGGAACTGCTTGCTTGGAACTTGCTTCCAAGGCAGATGCAGAGCTATGCAGGAACTTGCTTGGAATGAAGGCAGCTTCCACTGGGTGCTGAGTGCCTTATTCCTTTCTGCCCACAGTGCCTGGCAGAGAGGAATAAAACAAGTAGCTACCATTTAGTTAAGGGCTTCGGTGGGCCATGTACTCCATGCCAGGCACTGTAACTACAATCACCCCTGTGGAAGGCTTTATGTGTTCCCTATCTTAGAGATGGGGAGGACAAGGGCCAGAGGGGAAAAGTCTCTTGCCCATGTTCACCCATACTAGCAAGAGGTTGAGCTGGGCTTTAAACTCAGGACTACATGAAGAAATATATGGTCTTTCCAAAGCCATGCTATAAAGATACACAGCAAAATTTGTGGAGTGAGTAAATGATTCACTGAATGAGTTAGCACATGAATGAATGATAAATGAAGAAGTGATGAAATGAGTTAGTGAAAGAATACCTCATCAAATGAAGAAGAGTCTCCCCTTGCCACCCATTGCCCTTCTCTTATTTCCTCCTCCTTTCCCTCTGGCCTTCCTCTTCCCTCTCCTCTTTACTGCCTCTTTTCTTCTCCCTTATCCCTCCCTTTTCTTCTCTTACCTCTCCTTTCTTCCTTCTTCTCTTCCCTCTTGCCTTTCTCCTCTCCTCCCTTCCTTCCTTGTTCCTCTCTTATCTCCCTACTTTCCTTACCAATGTTTAGTATTTCTCCCTATGCATGTTGATCGCCATCCCGATTTTTTTTTTTTTTTGAGACAGGGTATCACTTTGTCACTCAGGCTGGAATGCAGTGGCGTGATCACAGCTCATTGTAGCCTCAACCTCCTGGGCTCAAGTGATCCTCCCACCTCAGCCTCCTGAGTAGTTGAGACGGCAGGCACATGCCACCACACCCAGCTAATTTTTGTATTTTTTTGTAGGGACAGAGTCTCATTATGTTGTCCAGGCTGGTCTCAAACTCCTGGACTCAAACAATCCTCCTGCGTCCGCCTTCCAAAGTTCTGGGATTACAGGCGTGAGCCCCTGCACCCAGCTGCACTCCCTGTTTCTTGCATTTTCTTTTCTCTTCCCCAGCTCTCTCATCTCCCTGGCCCTTCCCCCACCACCACTGTGTGGTTCTGTCCTCACCCCTTGCCAAAAGAAATTAAAAACAAAACAAAAACTACAAACAAAGAAGAGAGAAAAATAATGAAATAACACAAACGGGCTTTGGACATTTACTGTGTGCCAGGTGCTATACTAGACATTAGAAATTGGCAGAGAACAAGGCAGATGCAGTTTCTGCATCAGTGGAGCTCATTGGCTAGTGGGGAAGCCAGATACCGTGAGCCAAGAGACGGGAAGGAACAAGGTGGCCTGAGAACTTTCAGGTGGCCCCCACCTGTCTAGGGGACCTGGAAGGCTCTTAGCATTTGAGCTGAAACCTGAAAGGGTGAAGCAGCAGTCATTAGCTGGGGAAGGGGAGTGGAGATGGATGCCCAGCCTGTGGAAGACCCAGACCTAACTGGGAGAGCCTGCCTCTTTGGAGGAAGTCAAAAGAACTCTGCAAGGGTGGAACGGAAAAGGAAAGGGACATATGGAGGGGCAAAAAGGGTGAAAAGGGGACTGGGGCCAGATACAGAGGGCCTTTTGGGTCTGCTAACAACTGGAGGACTCTATCCTAAAGATAACAGGAAGCCATGGAGGGGTTTAGGCAAGGGGATGGCTTAGAGATGGTGTTGGCTGCCCAGAAGGCCAGTGGGGTGAGTGACCTTCCTCTCTTTGACCTTCACTTCCTTATGTATAAATATTAAACTTACTCTCTCTCTCTCTCTCTCTCTCTGTGTGTGTGTGTTTGTGTGTGTGTGTGTGTAGTGCGGAGCTTGTTAACAGACGTGCATGCCTGGCCTGTGGACTGTGCAGTAAGTGTTGAAAAAGGCACTCTTCCCTGACTTGATTTCTTTCTGCATCTCCTCCCAGGGGCCCGCTCCTGCTTAAAAACACCATGCATGCAGGTGAGCTGTCCCTATGATTCCCACAGGGAGGGTAGCCCCAGATTGAGGGTAGGGGTGCTGGGAGGACTGGGGAGTTCATCCAGCAGTTAGATTGCTGTGTTAAGGCAGGTGTTTGACAGCTGCCCTATGGTCTCCTCCACAGAGCCCACTTCACCCGGAACAAGCAAACTGTTAAGGCTATAGGCAGCTTTGCCAGGGTTGCTGTGAGAATCTAGTGCCATGGGTACTGGCAGAGTAGTTCTAGCAACTTAGGAGTTTGTCTCTGGTTTGGAGCACCCCAATCTTGCAAGGCTCAGGGCTCCTTGTTGGTGCACTTAGGTTACCCTGTCACATGTGGCCAGCTGGAAGTGGGGTAACTCATAAGGAGGCTCTTCCTTCCCTTTTTCTGCCTTAAAGTAGAAGAGACTCCTCATTTGTCTATTTGTAAGCTTCCAACTGTGTAACTGGCACTGGGCTAGGAGCTGGGGTTGCCCCAGGGGCCAAGGTATACACAGTTCTTGTCATTGCAAAGCTCATCTCTAGCAAGAGCTAGAACACTAAATGAATTCACTGGAATGAAATGTGCTGAGTATTTTGCTAGAAGTGGGATTAAGCAAAGGATAATGAGAATTACCCCCATGCAATCCTACAAGCCAAGGGGATTGAGTTTGTTCAGGATCATGAGCCAGGAGGGAGCAGGTTGTGGTCAAAGAACAGAACTGAGAGACTGTGGAGGCAAGTGGCAAGTGATGGGCTGGAAAGGTGGGCTGGGCACAGTCACCAGGGCCTTGTAAGTCACAGCAAGGGGCTTTCATCTTAAGAATAGTGGGAGCCCTGGAAAAGCCTTAACAGGTGTGGCATGGCTGCATTTGTCTTTTCTCTCTCTCAAGACTGCTGCTGGGAATGTGACAGTTGGCTGTTGGAGAGAAGCGGGCACTGGCATTGAGAGACCTCCAGACTGGACATGGCCCTGAGTCCAGGGGCTAACCTGGTCTTCCATGAAGACCCAAAGATGACACCAAGTCCCCCCTCCTGTGGGGCCCCGGGATTAGGGTCTGGTACCATCCCTCAGCCCCACCCAGACATGGCTCAGGTGCCTATGTTGAATCTGCTCCCAAGTCCTGGCTTGGCTCTCGTTCCAGATCTTAATGATTCTTTGAGTCCAGTCTCAGGGGAGGCCTCAGGCCTGGTGTCTGAAAACACCCCCAGACCTGATGACAGCAGAGCTATCGCTCCAGCCTCCCTCCAGATCACCAGTTCTTGTTCTGGTGAAGCCCTGGACCTGGATTCCAAGGATGTCTCAAGGCCTGACTCACAGGGGCGCCTCTGTCCAGCCTCAAACCCCATTCTGAGCCCTAGCTCTACTGAGGCCCCTCGTCTGAGCTCTGGGAACCACCCTCAGTCAAATTCTGAAGATGCCTTCAAGTGCCTCTCAAGTAAGATTTTCAAGTTGGGTCAGAGAAACTCCAACCCTTCTAGGCATGAATTAAACCCATTTATAAGGCACCATTCCAGAGAAGGTCTGGTTCTGGGCCACTGCATCTCTAGGCCAAGCTCAAAAGCACTCCTTATTCCAACCTCAAACTCTTCTCTGGACCTTGACTCCAATCCATTGCTCAACATGGGCTCAAGAAACACCTCCAAGCTGAACCTGAATGTAGCTCCAGATTCTCATGGGACCCTAATCCCAGACACAAATGAGACCATCACTTTGGCTTCACATAATATCTCTGAGTCTGTTTCAAAAGGAGCCTTTAGTACCACCTGGAGCACAAGTTCAAAGGAAACCATGAATGTGGCTTCCAGCGGCCACTCCAGATCTGATTTGAGCGTGACCATCACTCAAGCCTCGTATGTGACCCTGATTCCTGGCTCCAGCTATGGTATCAGCCTGCACTCCAGCACCCATGAGCCCAACTCCACCATCTCTCCACCCTCATGCATGACTCTAATCCTGGGTTCCAATGAGACTCTGAGCCTGGACTCCAGCCTCCTGTTCAGCGACACCTCCACCTTGACGCTGAGCAGTCAGCAGGATGATGCCAAGGACAACAGCATCCACACTGTGCCCCTGGAGGAGAATCTGGAGAGTTGGAGTGAGATGGCCAGCATTAAGGTGGGCCAGTTCCCGCTGGGATTCCCCATCTCCAACCCCGCAGGCAAGGACGCCGTGACCTTGCAAGGCATCCCTGAGGGTAAGGCCAGGGCCGCAGCCCTAGAGAGAGCACTGTCCTGGAGGAATTCTGTCTTCAGACTCTTAGGGCAGGGAGAGGAGAAGGAAGGAAGGGGACAGCAGGCAGTTGATAACATATGATTTATTAATTCTATACTAGACATCTAATAATCGGCCTCTGCTAGCAATGTGACCTGGGACAAGCTAATTAATCTGCCTGAGCTTCAACTTCATTGACTGTAATATCAGTATATAGCCGGGCGCAGTGGCTCACGCCTGTAATCCCAGTACTCTGGGAGGCTGAGGCAGGTGGATCGTCTGAGGTTGGGAGTTTGAGACCAGCCTGGCCAACATGGTGAAACCCCGTCTCTACTAAAAATACAAAGAATTAGCCAGGCGTGGTGGCGCATGCCTGTAATCCCAGCTACTCGGGAGGCTGAGGCGGGAGAATTGCTTGAACCTGGGAGGCAGAGGTTACAGTGAGCTGAGATCTCACCATTGCACTCCAGCCTGGGCAACAAGAGCAAAACTCCGTCTCAAAAAAGAAAAAAAAATCACTGTATAATACTTCTATTCTGTCCAAATTATGTCTATTGTATCAACAAACTATCCCTTCCATTCAAAATGTACATCTTTTTCTTCCTTGATACATTTTAGACCTGGCTTCTCAGGTCTGAGCAAGGCCTTGGGGTCCTGTCTGGAACCTGTGCCTCCCTCCTGATTTGTAGGATTTCTGTAAATTAATCCCCTGTCAGTTTCTGATGCTGTAAATATCTTTTCTTAATCCATTTTTATTTGTCCATGCGCCAATACTATATTAAGATTTTTTAAAAAGGACCATGGTTTTGTAAATAGGTGTTCATATCTGATGAGAATCCTATTTTTTTTTTTTTTTTTGAGTGGGAGTCTCATTCTGCAGCCCAGGCTGGAGAACAATGGCTTGATCTTGGCTCACTGTAACCTCTGCCTCCTGGGTTCAAGTGATTCTCCTGCCTCAGCCTCTTGAGTAGCAGGGATTACAGGCGCCCACCACCACGCCCAGCTAATTTTTGTATTGTTAGTAGAGACAAGGTTTTGCCATGTTGGTCAGGCTGGTCTTGAACTCCCGACCTCAGGTGATCCGCCTGCCTCAGCCTCCCAAAGTGCTGGGATTACAGGCTTGAGCCACCACACCCGACCGAGAATCCTTTAAAATTGTTCTGAAAATCAACTTAGCTATTAGTAGATAACATTTTATTTTATTTTATTTTTTGAGACAAAAGTCTCACTCTGTTGCCCAGGCTGGAGTTCAGTGGTGTGATCATAGCTCCTTGCAACTTTGAATTCCTTGACTCAAGAGACCCTCCTGCCTCAGCCTCCCGAGTAGCTAGGACTACAGGTGCACACCACACCACCACACCTGAGTAATTTTATTTTTTATTTTTTGTAGAGATGGGGCCTTGCTACGTTGCCCAGGCTGGTCTTGAACTCCTGGCCTCAAGCTATCCTCCCACCTCGTCCTCCCAGAGCTCTGGGACTACTACAGGCATGTTCCACCATGCCCAGCCTCTGTACATTTTAGAATGCATTTCTAGGGTTTCTTAGGGATTTTTTTAGGGCCTCAAAAAAATCTTGCTGCATTTTTTAAAGAATGTTATCAATTTATTCACCTATTCACACTTTCCTTTACATAGGATATATGCTTTACTAGGATTTAAAAAATTCTTCATAGAAGTCTAGTGCACCCTGGGTTGGGCTAATCGTAGATACTTTATAGTATTTTTTTTTTTTTTTTTTGAGATGGAGTCTTGCTCCGTCACCAAGGCTGGAGTGTAATGGCATGATCTCCACTCACCACAACCTCCGCCCCCTGGGTTTAAGTGATTCTCCTGCCTCAGCCTCCCGAGTAGCTGGGACTACAGGCATGCATCATCATGCCTGGCTAATTTTTGTAGTTTTAGCAGAGACAGGGTTTCACCATGTTGGCCAGGCTGGTCTTGAATTCCTGACCTCAAGTGATCTGCCTGCCTCAGCCGCCCAAAGTGCTGGGATTACAGGCATGAGCCACCACAGCTGTCCCAATGTATTCTTTTTTAATTGAAAAGTTTTTTTTTCGGCTGAGTGTGGTGGCTCACGCCTGTAATCCCAGCACTTTGGGAGGCTGTGGTGGGCAGATCACCTGAGGTCAGGAGTTCCAGATCAGCCTGGCCAACATGGCAAATCCCCCTCTCTACTAAAAATACAAAATCTGCTGGTGTGGTGGCACACTCCTGTAATCTCAGCTACTTGGGAGGCTGAGGCAGGAGAATCACTTGAACCCTGGAGATGGAGGTTGCAGTGAGCCGAGATTGAGCCACTGCACTCCAGCCAGGGAGACAGAGCAAGACTCCATCTCAAAAAAAAAAAAAAAAAAAGCTTTTTTTTCAGGCTGGGCGCGGTGGCTCATGCCTGTAGTCCCAGCACTTTGGGAAGCCGAGGTGGGTGGATCACCTGAGGTCAGGAGTTTGAGACCAGCCTGGCCAACATGGTGAAACCCTGTCTCTACTAAAAATACAAAAATTAGCTGATGTGGTGGCCGGGGCCTGTAATCCCAGCTACTTAGGAGGCTCCTACTTAAACCTGGGAGGCAGAGGTTGCAGTAAGCCAAGATCGTGCCACTACATTCCAGCCTGGGCGACACAGCGGGACTCTGTCTCAAAAATAAATAAATAAATAAAATAAAAATAAAAAAGTTTCTTTTTTTCCAGTTTTTTAATTGTGGTAAAATATACATAACAAAATTTACCGTCTAGGCCAGCACAATGACTCATGCCTGTAATACCAGTGCTTTGAGAAGCCAAGGCAGGAGGATCACTTGAAGTCAGGAGTTTGGGACCAGCTTGAGCAACATAGCAAGACTCTGTCTATATAAAAAACAAAAAAATTCTCACCATCTTTTTTTTTTTTTTTTTTAGACATGATCTCACTCTGTTGCCCAGGCTGGAGTACAGTGTCATGATCTTGCCTCACTGCAACCTCCACCTCCAGGGCTCAAGTGATCCTCCTGCCTCAGCCTCCCAGGTAGCTGGGATTACAAGCACGTGCCACCCTACTCAGCTAATTTTTTAAATATTTTTAGTACAGACAGGATTTCACCATGTTACCCAGGCTGGTCTTGAACTTCTGGGCTCAAGTGATCCACTGCCTCAGCCTCCCAAAGTGCTGAGATTACAAGCATGAGCCACCATGTCCAGCCAAACCTTACCATCTTAAACATTTTTAAATTATTATTATTATTTTTTAGGGTCAGGGTCTCACTCTGTCACACAGGCTGGAGTGCAGTGGAGCGATGATAGCTCACTGCAGTCTCAAACTGCTGGGATCCAGTGATTCTTTCACCTCAGCCTCCCAAATAGCTACGACTGTAGGCACACACCACTACATCTAGCTAATTTTAATATCTTGTAGAGAAGAGACCTCGCTATGTTGCCCAGGCTGGTCTTGAACTCCTGGCTCAAATGATCCTCCTGCCTTGGGTTCCCCAAGTGCTGGGATTTCAGGCATAATCCACTACACCTGGCCCTATCTTAACCTTTTTTTTTTTTTGAGATGGAGTCTTGATTGCAGTGGTGTGATCCTAGCTCACTGCAACCTCTGCCTCCCAGGTTCAAACAATTCTCCTGCCTTAGCCTCAGTAGCTGGGACTACAGGTGTGTGCCACTATGCCCGGCTTATTTTGGTAGTTTTAGTAGAGATGGGGTTTTACCTTGTTGGCCAGGCTACTCTCAAACTCCTGACCTCAGGTGATCCACCTGCCTAGGTCTCCCAAAGTGCTGAGATTACAGGTGTGAGCCACCATGACTGGCCAGCCATTTTTAAGTGAACAGTTTAATACAGTGGTATTAAATATATTCATAATGTTGTGCAACTATTGGCACCATTTCCTCTCCATAACTCTTCATCTTATGAACCTCAAACTCCATATGCATTAAACAATAGCTTCCCATTTTCCAGTCCCCCAGCCCCTAGCCACCACCATTCTACTGTTTCTATGATTTTCACTACTCTAGGTACCTCATATAACGACTTCATTCTTTTGCATGTGGATATCCAGTTTTTCTTGCTCTATTTGTTGAAAAAACTGTCCTTTCCCCAGTGAATGTTCTTAGCATTCTTGTCAAAAATAGACCAACCATAAATGTGTTTATTTCTGGGTACTCTATTTTGTTTCATTGGTCTATATGTCTGTCCTTATGCCAGTACCGTGCTGTTTTGATTATTATAGCTTTGTGGTATGTTTTGAAATCAGGAAGTATGAGTCCTCCAGCTTTGTTCTTCTTTCAAGATTGTTTTGGCTATCAGGGCCACTCTTTGCTTTTTTAATAGGAGCATTTTGTCCATTTGCTTGTTTAAAACAATGTATTTTCAAATTATAGTAGCCTTTTAAAAACTTTTTTGGGGTATAAGATGGATCAGTAAAATATGTAAAGTGTGCTAGTCATCTCAAGTATACAGCTTAATGAAAATTTATAGAAGTATACACTGTGGTAGCTACCACTCAGATCAAGTACCAGAAGCCCAGAAGCTTCCCTTGTGTCCCTTTCCAATCAATAATCCTTCTCCTGGGGCTAGATTTCTCAACTTTGGCACTATTGATATTTTGTGTTGGGAAATTCTTTGGTGTGTGTGTGTGTCTATGTTGGTAGTGGGGATGGGGGTGCTGTTCTATGCATTATGAAATGCACCCATCCCTAGACTCTACTTAGTAGATGCTAGTAGCAACCTCCCATTGCCACCCTCCAGTTGTAAAAACCAAAATGGTTTCCAGACATTGCTGAATGTTCCATGGGGGTTGGGGGGACAACTGCTCTTGGTTGCTAATCACTGCCCCGGAGGTGACAATTCTGATTTGCATCACCATAGACTAGTTTTGCTTATTCTTGAACTTATTGCCAATAGAATAATACTGTATTTACTGTGTGTGGTTTTTTTGTTTGTTTGTTTGTTTTGTTTTTTTTTAGATGGAGTTTCACTCTTGTTGCCCAGGCTGGAGTGCAATGGTGCGATCTCGGCTCACTGCAACCTCTGCCTCCCAGGTTCAAGTGATTCTCCTGCCTCAGCCTCCTGAGTAGCTGGGATTACAGGCATGCACCACCACGCTTAGCTAATTTTTTGTATTTTAATTTTTATTTATTTATTTATTTTTTGAGATGGAGTCTCACTCTGTTGCCCAGGCTGGAGTGTAATGGCACAATCTCGGCTCACTGCAACCTCCACCTTCGGGGTTCAAGCAATTCTCCTGCCTCAGCCTCCTGAGTAGCTGGGATTACAGGTGTCTGCCACCACTTCTGGCTAATTTTTGTATTTTTTTTTTTTTTGAGATGGAGTTTCACTCTTGTTGCCCAGGCTGGAGTGCAATGGCATGATCTCGGCTCACCACAACCTCTGCCTCCGGGTTCAAGCAATTCTCCTGCCTTAGCCTCCTGAGTAGCTGGAATTACAGGCGCTAGCCACCATGCCTGGCTAATTTTGTATTTTTAGTAGAGACAAGGTTTCTGCATGTTGGTCAGGCTGGTCTTGAACTCCCAGCCTCAGGTGATCCACCTGCCTCGGCCTCCCAAAGTGCCAGGATTACAAGCGTGAGCCACTGTGCCCGGCTGTACTTACTGTTTTGACTCTGGCTTCTTTAGTGCAACATTATGTCTGTTGGATTCATCCATATTGTGTATTTCAATAGTAGATTGTTTTTTGGTGTTCTGTAGTATTCCATTGTATGGATATACCACAGTTTGTTTATTCATTCTGCTGCTGATGGACATTAGAATTGTTCCTATTTTTTGGATGTTATTAATAAAGTAGCTGTGAATGTTGTTGACCATGACTTTTGGTGCAGAGATACACTTATTTATGTCAGAGTAGAATTTCTGGGTCATAGTGCAGGCGTATTTATAGCTTTAAGAGATATTGCCAAACAGTTTTTCAAAGTGGTAATCTTAGTCTGTTTGTGCTGCCATAACAAAATGCCTGAGACTGAGTAATTTATAAACAACAGGGATTTATTTTCTCACAGTTCTAGAAACTGGAAGTCCAAGATCAAGGCAGCAGCATTTGGTGTCTGGAGAGGGCCCACTTGCTGTATCCCTACATGGTGGTAGGTGGAAGGACAAAAAGGGGCTGAACTCTGTATGAAGCCTCTTTTATAAAGGCCTTAATCCCATTCTAGACGGTGGAGCCCTCATAATTTGACAACCTCCTAAAGTCTCTGCCTCTTAATACTATTGTATTGGAGATTAAGTTCAACATGAATTTTGAAGGGGACACAAATATTCAAACCACAGCAATGACTGAATTAATTTACGCTTCCACAAACAATGTGAGTTTCAATTGTTCCACATTCTCACCAAGGTTTGGTGTTATCAGTTAAAAAAATTGTAGTCAGGCCGGGTGCAGTGGCTCACGCCTGTAATCCCAGCACTTTGGGAGGCTGAGGCAGGCGGATCACCTGAGGTCAGGAGTTCAAGACCAGCCTGACCAACATGGAGAAACCCCAACTCTACTAAAAATACAAAAAATTAGCCAGACATGGTGGCACATGCCTGTAATCCCAGCTACTCAGGAGGCTGAGGCAAGAGAATCACTTGAACCCCGGAGGTGGAGGTTGCGGTGAGCTGAGATTGCACCATTGCACTCCAGCCTGGGCAACAAGAGCAAAACTCCATCTCCAGAAAAAAAAGAAAAAAGAAAAAAAAGAGAAAAATAAAAAATCATAGTCATTCTAGGGGATTTCTGTCTAGTGATAGTTCATTGTGGTTTTAATTTGCATATCTTGATAACTACTGATGTTAAGCATCTTTTTACATGATTATTGTCAATTTGCGTATCCTCTTTTGTGAAGTACCAGTTCAAACGTTTTGTGCTTTTTTTTTTTTTTTAATTTCAGAAGGGAACGGCATGTACATTTTGCTCATTTAAAAAAGTTGGGTTGTCTCTTTTTCTTATTGGTTTGTGGGAATTCTTTATGTAATTCAGATATGAGTTCTTTGTTAGATACATGAATTTTGACTCTTTTCTCCAAGTCTGTGGCTTGGTGAAGCCTTTTATTTATTTTTAAATTAAATTAATTTTAAACTTTTTAAAGAAATGAGATCTTATTCTGTTGCCCAGGCTGGAGTGCAGTGGCACAATCATAGCTCACTGCAGACTCAAACTCCTGGGCTCAAGTGATCCTCCTGCCTCAGCCTCCTGAGTAGCTGGGATTACAGGCATGTGCCACCATGCCTGGCTAATTTTGTATTTTTAGTAGAGATGGGGTTTCTCCGTGTTGATCAGGCTGGTTTCGAACTTCTGACCTCAGGTGATCTGCCCACCTCGGCCTCCCAAAGTGCTGGTATTACAGGCATGAACCACCACGTCAGGCCCTGTTCACTTTTATAATCTGTGCTTAGAACAGTACTGGTCATATAGTAGGTACTTAAAAATATTATTTGTTTGTTTGTTTGTTTGTTTGTTTGTTTATTTTGAGACAGAGTTTTGCTCTTGTTGCCCAGGCTGGAGTGCAGTGGAGCAATCTTGGCTCACTATAACCTCTGCCTCCTGGGTTCAAGTGATTTTCCTGCCTCAGCCTGTTGAGTAGCTGGGATTACAGGCGCCCGCCACCATGCCCAGCTAATTTTTGTATTTTTAGTAGAGACGGAGTTTCGCCACATTGGCTAGGCTGGTCTTGAACTCCTGACCTCAGGTGACCCACCTGCCTTGGTCTCCCAAAGTGCCGGTATTACAGGTGTGAGCCACCGCCCCTGGCCTTAAAAATATTTTTTAAATGATTTTAAAAAACCAACCTAGGGCTGGGCATGGTGGCTCACACCTGTAATACATAGCACTTTGGGAGGCCGAGGCAGGAATATTGCTTGAACCCAGGAGTTTGCAACCAGCCTGGGCAACATGGTGAGACTCCCATCTCTACAAACAATGTAAAAATTAGCCAAATGTGGTAGCGTGGGCCTGTAGTGCCAACTAGTTGGGAGGCTGAGGTGGGAGGATCACTTGAGCCTAGGAGGGCGAGGCTACAGTCAGCCATGATTGCACCACTGCACTCCAGCCTGGATGACAGAGCAAGACCCTATCTGCAAACAAAACAAAACAAAACTTAGAGAAAAGTTGAGCTGGGTGTGGTGGCTCATGCCTGTAATCCCAGCACTTTTGGAGGCCGAGGCGGGCAGATCATTTGAAGCCAGCAGTTCAAGACCAGCCTGGCCAACATGGTGAAACCCTGTCTCTACTGAAAATACAAAAATTAGCCGGGCATGGTGGCACACACCTGTAAACCCAGCTTCTCAGCAGGTTGAGGTGGGAGAACTGCTTGAACCTGGGAGGTGGAGGTTGAAGTGAGCCGAGATTGGCGCCACTGCACTCCAGCCTAAGCAACAGAGTGAGACTCCATTTCAAAGAAAAAAAAAAAAGTTGAAAACGTACTATAAATTTTTTTCCCTGAATCATTTCAGAATAAGTTTCCAAATGATGCCCCATCACCCCTGAATTTCAGAGTGTACTTCTTACAAAAAAGGATAAAATATAACTATCACAATCGAGTAATTAATACTGATACACAGCTACCATATAATCCTCAGGCCCTATTCAAAAGTCACCAATTTTCCCAGTAATGTTCTCTACAGCAAGAGGATCCAGTTCAGAACCACTCATTGTACGTTTTTTCTAGTCTGATCTGTCTCCTGCAGTCCTCAGCCTTTCTTTGACTTTCTTGTCCTTGATACATTTGAAGATGACAGGCAAGCTATTTTTGTAGGATGTGCCTCAGTTTCGATTTGTCTGATGCTTGCTCATGATTAGATTCAGGCCATGCATTTTTGGCAGGAATAGCACAGAAGTGACGCTGGGTTTTTCTCATTGCATCCTGTCTGGTGCCTCATAATTTTGATTTGTTTGTTACTGATGCTGTTTGCTTTCATCACTTGAGTAGGATGGTTGCTGCCAAGGTTTTCCAGTGTGAAGTCAATATTTACCCCTTTGTAGTAAATATCGTGTGGTCAGGTACTTTGAAACTATGTGAATATCCCATTCCTCATCAAACTTTCCATTTATTTATTTATTTATTTATTTGTATAGTATGGACTCAAGGTTTGTTAGTTTATTCAATGGGCTATAATCCGTTTTTTTCACAATTTATTGTGATACTCAACTTTTTCTCAATTTGATCAGTGGACTCCCCTTCAAGCAAACTTTTGTAAAGACCAGCCTGACCAACATGGCGAGAGCCCCGAGCTCTTGTTTCTTTTTTTTGAGATGAAATATTGCTCTGTTGCCTCAGCTGGAATGCAGTGGTGCGATCTTGGCTCACTGAGACCTCTGCCTTCTGGGTTCAAGCGATTCTCCTGCCTCAGCCTCCCTAGTAGCTGTGATTATAGGTGTGCACCACCATTGCCCAGCTAATTTTTGTATTTTTAGTAGAGGTGGGGTTTCACCATGTTGTCCAGGCTGGTCTCAAACTCCTGACCTCAGATGATCCACCCTCTTTGGCCTCCCAAAGTGCTGGGATTACTGGCGTGAGCCACCGTGCCCGGCCCCCATCAGCTCTAAAAAAAAAAAAAAAACAAAAAAAAAACAAGCTTTTGTGTCCCTTTGACATTTGACATGTCTTTATCATTCAGGTGTCTCAGGTTCATCCTGGACTTTCCCTGCTTGAGTCCTGGAATCGACCTTTTCTCCAAGGAGCCTTGTTCCTTTTAGTGGGGAAAGGTATTTAGAAGCTAAGATCTTGGTGTTGGCTGTGTTCACTACAATTGGTGTATCTACTTCTCCATCCTCCAGCGTCCTCTGGTGATCGAGAATCTGAAGTTCCAGGTTTTCATAGGCCCCAGTGACCTTGTCCTCAGAAGGAGAAAGATCCTCTCTCCTTTGGTGTTCCCCTCAACTCCCTTAAATAAAGGACTCTATTGGTCCTGCCCAGTAAGTTTTCATCCCTGGACCAATCGCTGTGGCTGGAGGCATGGGACACTCTTAGGAGTGGAGCTTGGGTCCCAGGCCCACACCTATCTGAAGAGTGGGTGCTGGGTGTGTCTTGAGGAATCCAGCTTCACCTAGCTACATGGAATAGGGTGCACCCAGGAAAGATGAGGCTCTTTCACCAAAAGAAAGTGAAGAGATTGGGGGCTGACAGAACAGCAGATGCCTCTCATAACAAGTAGGTGTTTAGCTATGAATTGTGGTACCTGCTGAAAGAAGAGATTCGGACAATGCACGACAAGACCATAGTGGCCTTTGCAGAGCCCCAGGGTGGGGGTGGCCTTTCTCAGGACTGGCAGGCAAGCCTAGGCCTGAAGGAGAGCCTTAGTGGGGCAAGGAGGTATGGCGAGCAGTGGCCCGGGTAGAGGGAACCACCGTGCAAAGGCCCTGAGGGGAAATGTGCCCAGTTCTGGAAGGAGGCTGGTGTGGCCAAAGCATAGTGAAGCAGGCAAGTGGTGGGAGATAAGGCTGCAGAGGAGGGCAGGGCACAGCCGACCAGGCAGGGCATTGAGGGTCTTGGCAAGGATGCTGGCTTTGTGCTCAATGAAATGCAGTGTCACTGAAGGATTTTAGGGAGGGGGTGACATGAGCTGATGTACACTTAAAAGCTCAGTGTAGGCTGGGTGCAGTGGCTCACACTTGTAATCCTAGCACTTTGGGAGGCTGAGACGAGTGGATCACTGGAGGCAGGAGTTCGAGACTAGCCTGGCCAACATGGTGAAACCCCATCTCTACTAAAAATACAAAAATTAGACGGGTGTGATGGCGGGTGCCTGTAATCCCAGCTACTTGGGAGGCTGAGGCAAGAGAATCACTTGAACCCGGAAGTTGAAGTTTGCAGTGAGCCGAGATAGCGCCATTGCACTTGCACTCTAGCCTGGGCAATAAGAGTGAGACTGTCTCAAAAAAAAGGAAAAGAAAAGAAAGCTCAGTGTGGCTGCTGGGGTGGGGTAAGGATTGGAGGTGCCTAGAGGGGGAGGAGAGAGATGGCATGATGGCATCCTAGGTACATCACAGCTTTATCCACCTTCTCATTGAAATCGTGCCCTGCAGGAGCCTTTGATGAAGTGACCTCATGCCTGGTGAAGGTGCCAGAGAAGACAGAAGGTGGCAACAACATGGCTCTGGTATGCCTCCTGCCCAACCCCTAGCTGACTGTGCTGGGATACTTCCATCCTGCCAACCCCCTACCCCCCAGCCCAGCAGCCTCCGCATTCCCCATGCCTCTGCCCAGCTCTCCTTTTCTCCATAACATTCATTGCCGTCTGATGTGCCATATGCTTTGTTTATTCATCTTCTTTCTTGTTCATCTCCTCCACAAGGACATATCCTCCATTACTCGGGCATTTTTGTCTGTTATTCACAGCTATAACTTCAGCACCTAGAACGGTGCCTGGCACATAATAGATGCTCAATAAAATATTTTTAAACAATTGAATGAATTGTGAGAGGGGCTCTGAAAGGGGCAGAAAGTCTAGAAGTGGCCTTTTTTCAGGACAGTCAGGCCCAACCCAGGTCTGGGCCATGTGGCAGGCTCAGGAGGCCCAAGAAGACCAGTCCAGCAGGTGAGGCACACTTGCATCTGCAGGACTTGGAGATGGCCAGTGGGGAAGACTAGACAAACCGGTGGACGTGAGTGCGACACAGGGAGTGTGGACAAGGCTGCTTGATGGACACAATGTGGAGGAGGTGGGGGATCCATCCAGGCCCAGACATGCAGGAGGCAGGTCCTGCCTGCAGGCTGCTTCAGGGCCAAGCTTCAGTCCCTGGGGCAGTGCAGGGCGGAGATGGGGAGAAGTGACTGGACTAAGAGGAGGCCCTGCATTCAGGGAGCATTTATCCTCATCCCATGGCGTCCTTCTAGTTGTCCACTGTGTTCCTGCCACACTGGCCTTTTTCTGTTTCTCACACACGCCAAACTCATTCCTGCCCCAGGGCCTTTGCACGTGTTTCTTCTGCCAGGAAAGTTCTATAAAATGGGCACAACAAAGCTGAAGTGAGGCCCATGCCAGATGATATGCACAGCACCTACCATGGCGCCTGCAAAAAGAAGACTTCTTATTGATGTCATAGGGGCCAAGGGAAAATGTCCCCTTCATCCTCTGAAGGTCTGCTGAAAAAAATCAACTCACAAAGGCAGATTAATTGGAGAAAATGTACACACATTTATTAATGAGTACACGGAGAGAAGCACAGAGTGATTACCTGCCCCCCAATGAGGGCTCAGAAACTTATATACCATTTTGAGGTTACAGAAAAAATGGGGGCTTGGATCCTGGCAAAACAGGTTATAGGAGGCGGGAGAAGAGGAATTTTTTTTTTTTTTTTTTTTTTTTTTTGAGGCAGGGTCTCGCTCTGTCACTCGGGCTGGAGTGCGGTGGTGCAATCTTGGCTTGCTGCAGCCTTAACTTCCCAGGCTTACGCAATCCTCCCATCTCAGCCTCCTGAGTAGCTGGGATTACAGGCATGAGCCTCTGTGCCCGGCCCTGGGCTATTTTTTTTTTAATTTTTTGCCTAGAGGTGAGGTCTCATTATGTTGCCCAGGCTGGTCTTGAACTCCTGAGCTCAAGCCATCCTCCTGCCTAAGCCTTCCAAAGTGCTGGGATTATAGCAGTGAGCCACCACACCCAGCAAGAGAAGAGGAATTCTGTTGAGGAGCAATAAGGGATTAGTAGCAAGAATTAATGGATCAGGAACAGAGATTATCTTGTGAAAGGGTCTGTTCAGATGTGGTTACATTCTTGGTCTTATAGGGAAGGGAAGGAACAACAGCTGATCTCCTTGGTAGATCTGGATCTTAGGCAAATCAAGGAACTTTGACTTCATCTTGTACTTTGGGAGAGATCAGAAAGACCTGGAAGCTTCTTCAATTCAGTGTGTCCAAACACCATATTGTGGGGTATCAGTTTCTGAGCCCTAACACTGTCATTCAACACATTTAATTGAGCCTCTACTATGTGCCAGGCACTGTTTCAGGCACTGGGAATACAACAATGGTGTGACCTGACATTCTAGTTTGGGGAGACACACAGGCCTTCCCCCTAGTTCTTTGCATAGCTAGCTCTTGTCATTTAGGACTCAGCCCAGGTGTTAACTCCTCTGAGTGGTCTTCTCTGACCATTTGGATTAAATTAGCCATCCCTCTGTCATCACTCTTACAGTTTAAGTTACCTATTGCTATTTAACAAACCACCCCAGAATTTAGTGGTTTAAAAGTTCACTCTGGGATAGGGATGGTGGCTCACACCTGTAATCCCAGTACTTTGGGAGGCTGAGGTGGGAGGATCACTTGAGGCCAGGAGTTTGAGACCAACCTGGGCAACATCGTGAGACCCAGTGTTTACAATTTTTTTTTTTTAAGTTGGAGTTTTAGCTCTTGTTGCCCAGGCTGGAGTGCAATGGTGTGATCTCGGCTCACTGCAACTTTTGCCTCCTGGGTTCAAGTGATTCTCCTGTCTCAGCCTCCCAAGTAGCTGGGATTACAGGCACATGCCACCATGCCCGGCTAATTTTTGTATTTTTAGTACAGACAGGGTTTCATCATATTGGTCAGACTGGTCTTGAACTCCTGACCTCAGGTGATCTGCCCACCTCGGCCTCCCAAGTTGCTGGGATTACAGGCATGAGCCACTATGCCCAGCTACAAAAATTTACAAAGTAAAAAAAAAAAAAATCAGCTGGGCATGGTGGCCCAGTAGTCCTATGTAGTCCATGTAGTCCTAGCTACTCAGAAGGCTGAGACTGAAGGATTGCTTGAGCCCAGGAATTCGAGATTATAGCGAGCTGTGACTGCATCACTGCATTCCAGCCTGGGTGCTGGGGGCATTAGAATTGGAAAGGCCCAATTTCTCATGATTCTGAAGTTTGACTGGGCTTAGCTGGGTGTTTCTTCTGCTCCACAGTATAGACTGAGATCACTCAGTGGGACTGGAATATTCAAGATGACCCTCTCATTTTCCAGGGCCTCTCTTTGCATGGTCTGTAATCATTGTCTTTTAGCCTGGGCTTCCTGGCAGCACAGTGGCTGAGTTCCAGAGGGAAAAAGTGGAAGCTTCCAGTTTCCTTAAGGACTAGTCCAGGAACTGGCCCAGCATCACTTCTACATTATTCTGCTGTTCAAAGCAAGTTGTAAAATGAGCCAAGATTCAAGAGGAATCTGTCCTTTGGATAGGAGGAGCAGAAAAGAACTTGCAGCCATTTTCAATATGCCACACACCTCATCAAATTAACTTGTATTTTCTTCTTTACTATATGAAATTAGTTTTCTTATTTCATGGTCATTGTTTATTTTCCTTCTTCTCCCTTAACATGATGAGAACGGAGAGATTAGTTGGATATTGGTTAATGTGTTCTCTCTCTCAGGTAGCAGAATGCCTCAATCTGACTTGTATGTACTGGGAGACCCATATGAAGTGTTACTAATGGTGCAATTTCAGGTTGAGGGATTGGGGCCCTTTCTGTCCCCTCCTTAGCTGACTGGAGAAGGGGGGAGTACTTTGCAGTCCCTCATATCTGGTCCTCTTCCAAATGCTGGCATTCAGGATTAACTCCTCCAACCCCTCAATATTCTCCAATCTTTACCCCACCCCAAGCTCCCCTTGTGGGGACCTCTCATTTCTCTTGCACCAATGCTGGCTTGCCTGTAGGTGTCGGGTGGTTAACAGTGCTGTATGGGCAACCCCTGAGGACTGGGCTCAGTGGGTCTCTCACTCTGAGGTTTTGCCCTCTGCTGTCCCCTAGGTTGAGAATGTCACCACCCTTCAGAAGAGCCAGGATCTGCTGGAGGCAGAAGGAGAAAAGAAGACCATGATAAAGAAGATTATGGTGGGGGAGCCACAGGCGGGTCTGTGGCATTGGGGTGGGAGGGGGCAGAATTCCTGAGTCCACCCACTGATGAGACCGCAGGGGTGGGAGGTTGAGGTAGGAAGAGGACGGGATGAGGAGGCAGGACATCGGGAATTGAGTCTCAGCTCCACCTCGAACTGCCCTCCACCTACACAGAGGGAGCTCAGGCAAGTTCTGAGCCTCACTCTTCTCATCTCACAGATGGGTGTGATAATACCTGTGCCATTGGCTTGTTGGGAGGACACAACCCAATGCTTAGTCTACAGTAAAGGCTTGTACACCCAGAAGCATTTCTTATTACTTAATACATTCTTTTCCCAGCAATTCCTTCTGGTGGGCAACTTTAGGCAGTTTCCTCATCATTTTGATAAATACAGTCACTCCACCAGAATGGACTGGGCAGGAATAACCACTGAATAACCACTGAAGCTTCCAAAATTATATCTGTGTTTGTGTACTTTACAGAGACAACCAAAAAAGTCCTTGCCCTCCATACCTTCATTTAACTAACATTAATTGAACATCTGCTATGTGTAGGTGCTAGATCAAAAATGAGAAGCAATTAGAAGGACATACTTTATTCTGAGACAGGATCATGCTCTGTCACCCAGGCTGGAGTGCAGTGGCGCCATTATGGCCCACTGCAGCATCAAACTCCTGGGCTCACGGGATCCTCCCGCCTTAGCCTCTCGAGATTTGGGACCACAGGTATGTGCCACCACACCCAACTAATTCTGTATCTTAAAGAAATGGACATTTGGCCAGGTGTGGTGGCTCACGTCTGTAATCCCAGCATTTTGGGAGGCCAAGGCAGGTGGATCCCTTGAGGTCAGGAGTTCGAGACAAGCCTGACCAAAATGGCGAAACCCCATCTCTACTAAAAATATAAAAAAAGCTTAGCCGGACATGGTGGCACGTGTCTGTGGTCCCAGCTACTCAGAAGGCTGAGGCAAGATAATCGCTTGAGCTAGGGAGGCAGAGGTTGCAGTGAGCCGAGATTGTGCCATTACACTCCAATCTGGGTAACAGAGCAAGACTTCATGTCAAAAAAAAAAAAAAAAAAAATAGTTCAAGATGAACCTGGCCAACATCATGAGGTCTCATCTTAAAAAGAAGAAAAAAAAACACAAAAAAACATTTTAAAGGAATGCAACTGGGCAGTTTTCAAGGGCCACACATAGTGGTTTTTGCTTTGGACCAGTTCCATAGTTTGAATATGCCTCTTGGAGGCCAGGCATGGTGGCTCATGTCTTTAATCCCAGCATTTTGGGAGGCCAAGGCAGGAGGATGGCTTGAGCTCAGGAGTTTGAGACCAGCCTGGGCAACATAGCAAGACTCTGCCTCTACAAAAAATAAAAATACTTAGCCAAGTGTGGTGGCATGAGCCTATAGTCCCAGTTACTTGGGAAGCTGAGGCGGGAGGAGCACTTGAGGGTATGCTGGCTGCTGTGACCTGCTCCTTGTGACGGGGGCAGCCTTGGCCCTGGTGGCCTGCAGTAGCCCTGTCCTCATCGGCCCTTCTGTGGCCCCCTGTCCAGAGGCAGATCCAGGAGGAGCCACTGGATTCTCTCTCAAGCTCCGTCCGCAAGCAGGCCATGGAGATCCTGACCCAGCTGAGGTGTCCATGGCCCTCTCCCTGTTCCCACAGCCCCTCTCCTCTCTTCCTCCACTTCTGCCTCCCTCCATCTCTTCGCTGTACCCTCCCCCAACCCGCCCCCACCCCTCGCCCGGTGCCTTTTCCCCTCCCCTTGCCCAGTCCCTGTGCTCCTCAGCTCAGCCCCCGTCTATAGCCATAGGGCCCCTCTCTCACTCCATTTCTTTGCTTTCTGCCTCTTCTCCAGCCACACCCAGCCCACCCTGGGCATGCGGGAGAGGTCGGAGCTGGTGAACGTGTGTGTGCACAGCGTGTTCTCCCTGCCCTCCGTGCAGGCGATGCAGGAGAAGGACGAGGCCAAGGCTGAGACCATCCAGGTGAGGCGGGACCTTCCCAGCAGGGCCTCAGGGCTGGCCCATGTTCTGGGAGGAGATATGGAGCTGCATCCTCCGGCTCATTGGTCTGTGGCCTTGGGCAATTCAACTGACTTCTGTTGGTCTGAGTAGGTACTTGATAAATGGTGAAGGGATGAATCATTCAAATAAAGACACCCAGCTGGGCGCGGTGGCTCACACCTGTAATCCCAGCACTTTGGGAGGCTGAGCCGGGTGGATCACGAGGTCAGGAGACTGAGACCATCCTGGCTAACACGGTGAATCCCCGTCTCTACTGAAAATACAAAAAAAGAAAAAAAAAACTTAGCCGGGCGTGGCAGCGGGCGCCTGTAGGCCCAGCAACTCAGGAGGCTGAGGCATGAGAATGGCTGGAACCCGGGAGGCAGAGCTTGCAGTGAGCCGAGATTGCGCCACTGCACTCCAGCCTGGGCGACAGAGCGAGACTCCGTCTCAAAACAAAATGAAACAAAACACCCATCCTGTCCACTTCTGGGCCCTGCCCTATGGGAGGGATGTGGGCAGATGACGGTATGGCCAGGGGAAGCGGCCAGGATTGGGAGGGGCAGGGCTGAGGCTTAGGCTGTAATGAAGACAGACTGGGGGAACTGGGGATGAGGCCTGGAGAAGCAGAACCTCAGGGGGCTCATGCGAGCATCTTCAAACCTCTCCAGGCATTCCTGGGAGGAGGGGTGGAGGTGACCCTCAGGGTAGGATGAAGGGGAGTGAGGGTCAGTGGGGAAGGTTAAGGCAAAGGGTTTTAGCGCAGGGTGCAGCACATTCATTCATCACTTCATTTAGCAAATAGTAACTCAGTACCTACTCCATGCTGAACTCAGCACAGGAGCCTTACAGGTGAGGTGAGTGTGGGGGAGATGGATGGTATCAAATAAATAAATACGAATAAGTGCAAAATTACACCAATCATAAATGCTGCAAGCCAGAAGTACTTGGTGCTATAAAGAGCCTGCAATGGTGGGGCAGAGGGGAGGGGAAGGCCTAGATGGGGGTCAGGGGTTGTGATTGTGAAACTGAGAGGTTAAAGAAGAGCTAATTAGCTACAGAGGGTGGCAGAAGGAATAGCATTCCAGGCAGAGGATGACAAAGTGGCAGTGTGACTGGAGCCCAGAGGGTGAGGTGAGAGTTCTGGGAAGTGAGGCTGGAATGCCAGCATCCCGGAGGTGGTGCCCTTGGAGAAGACTGGGGTTGTGGGGGTGACTGAAAAAAGGAGGCCGCCCTCTTGTAGTATCAGATTTAGCCAGCAGAGGACAGTGCTGCATAGTAATCTGCAGAGATGGGCAGGAAGGAGGAGGCAGGTGGTGAGCCAGGCTTTCTTGGTGGTTGTGGTATAACCCCAAGGACCACTGGCTTCAGGGTGTGTGCAGACTCAGGGAGTCTAGACAATAACAACCTAGGAGGCACACTTAGGGAGCTGGCAGGACGAGGGGAGGCAAAAAAGAGAGGGTCTTCTCAGAGTAACTCAAACCCACTGCCCAGCCTCGTGTACATGTAATGCTGGTAACCATAAGACAATTCTGGGATGGTGGTGTGGGTAAGGGATGAGAAACCTAGGCAGGAGAGAGATGGCTTCCTTAAGGGGCAACTTGGAAAACGTATTTGGGCCTAGGAGAAGCAATTCAAAAAAGAATCAGAGCATTTCCCCGGAGATGATGAAAGTAAGATTGGCTCTTTCATTGATCCAGCTCTTGCGGTTCCAGAGCATTTTCTCATCCATCCTCTCATTTGCTCCTCATGACTTGAAACTTCTTGTTCTGTGATCTTGGACAAGTGTCCCTGTCCCTTCATTTGTAAAATGAGAAAAACAATTTGTGGACAAGGTGGCAAATCACCAGGTAGCCACCTGGTCCATGGTAGATTCTCAGTATATGCTGGATCTCCGCTTCCCTCCTCTTTAAGGTAGAAAGTGCAGAGATAATAATTAGCAATTGTTGATAAGGAAACTGTAACCCATGAGGGGAAGTAATTTGCCCAACATTACACATCAAGTTAGTCTCAGAGGTGGGACCAGAAAGCAGCTTTCCTGGGTCTTAATTCCCCCTCCTCCCCTGACCTACACCAGGGGCCGCCTGGGGCTGGTGTCCGCTCCAGAGGTGCCTTAGTGGCTTGGTCCTCCTCCCATCCACAGGCTCTTTACCATCAGACCCTGGAGGCCCTGCAGACACTGCTCAAAGCCCTCTTTATCGAGGACCCCACTCCTGCTGGGCTGAAGAGCATCTTGGAGGTGCGGAGATGGGAGGGGCAAGGAAGGGAGGGGAGGAAGGGTGGAGGGAAGAGAGAAATTGGTGCAGGAGCAGTGGAGGCCAGACCTAGGAGTGATTTGGCTTCAGGATGTCATCTTGTGTGAGTGTTCTGCCTCCCTGTCTGTCTCACAGGCCCTGTCCCAGACTCCTGCCTCTCCCCACTCTCTCCCCATCCCCCCACTCTCTAAATGGCTGCCCATGGTTATAGCTGCCACCATCTCTGTGCTCTTCCCATGCTTGTCCCTGCGTCTCTCTTCTGTCTTCATGACTCTTCACTCTTCATCTGTCTCCTCATTGACTTCCTTCTTCCCTATAGTCTGTCAGTCCTATTCTGAACTCTATCTCTGCCTATACCCCAAGAAGAGGAGGAGGGCTGTGGTGACCTTTATACCCTCTCTGGAAGCTTCCTGCTGATGGGTGAAGGCTGGCCTGTCCACCCAGCAGCAGGGGCTGTCATCTAACCTGTAGTTCTGAGTCTTGCTTTTGATCCCACAGGCCCTGGGGCCTTGGATGAACTCTGGGAAGGCCCATGAGCGAGCACGGGCTGTGAACACCAATGTCTCTGTGTTGAACCACATGCTTCTAACTCTGCCTTTCTTTGTGAGTGGCCCCTGGGAGGGGTGGACACTCTTAGGGAAAATCTTCCCACTTCTGAAGGAGCCCGTACCTCTGTTCAGGGATTCCCAGGTGGCTCTTGCCATCTTCAGAGGGCTGTGCTATCTGGGCCAGACTATCCACCGGTGTTCACCATTTAATGTATAGCATTATTGAACCTATAACACTCAATCCCTAAGATTGCAATACAAACAGATGCCCTTGGGGTTCCCGGCGCTGGGGCTTCTGCTGGGGAGACTCATCCTTCACATTGGGGATCCTGATGAGGAGATTGGCTGTGAGGCTCTGGACGGCATCATCATCCTCTACACTATTCTGGAGCTCCAAAAACGTAAGCCCTATCGGAGTACTTCTGAAGGAAGTCTTCTGAGTTGTTGCTCAGTCTGGATTCAATAAAGAATCAGCTGGAGCCTTGGCATTAAGGCACTGGTGGGAGATGGGGGAAACCAGCACAGGGCCAGATGGGGACTGTGGAAACTGGTGTGAAGCCCAAGACCCCAGAGAACCAGGGGACAAAGGCTACAAACAAAACTATTTTGATTTAAGCAATCTTGCTTTTTCTCATCCTTCCAAGCTTAGTTTGTGACTGTCATTTTCATAGTCCCTTAATACTATGTATACCTAAGGATAATTCCCCTAATACCTTGTTTTCCTGTCTGTTTTCCCCACTAGAGACTATAATCCTATGAGGGAAGGGCAGGGCTGTATCTTGGTCACCCCTGTATTCCCAAGGGCCATCTCTGGGCTTGGCACATGGTGGGTGCTCAGTGAATATCTATTGAATGAATGAATAAAGAACAGCTTCTGTCTTAGAATCCAGAGCAGCTAAAGCTTGTAGTTGGGAGAACTTTCCTTGATTCAGCTTCAGGGAGCACTTCGTGATGTGGTATGGGCTGACACAGGTATCCAGAAGGCATTGTACCTAGAGGTGCACAGTATCAGCTGTCACTTGCCTCCTTCCTTTCTCCATCATCCTAGCTCTGCCCTAAACCAGGGCACCTTGGCATGTGGTTTAAACTCTCCTGGCTCTGGGGGTAGAATGACCTTTGCATAAGAGCTGCTCCTATCGCTGCTTAGTGGTGTGACCTCAGGTAATCACTTTGTGTAGGCCTAGATTTCCTCATCTGTGAAAATGGTATACTCAGATATAATTCATAATTCATGCTTTTTTTTTTGACAGAGTCTGGCTTTGTTGCCCAGGCTGGAGTGCAGTGGCACAATCTTGGCTCACTGCAATCTCTGCCACCTGGGTTCAAATGATTCTCCTGCCTCAGCCTCCCCAGTAGCTGGGATTACAGGCACACATCACCACACCTAGCTAATTTTCATATTTTTAGTAGAGACGGGATTTCACCATGTTGGCCAGGCTGGTCTCAAACTCCTGACCTCGAGTGACCCATCTGCCTCAGCCTCTTAAAGTGCTGGGATTATAGGCAGGAGCCACCATGCCTAGCCTAAATTCATGCTTTTTGAAAGATTAAGTGAGATATTTTGTAAGAGCATATGTAAAGGTACTAGCTCAGTGCCACACATTATAGGCACTTGTCATGTAGTTCACTTTTTCCTATCCCTTCAAGCTTTTGGGATTTATCTGGTATCCTCACTCTTCTTGATCTCTAGCATTTGGGACAAAGATCTGGTCCCTGGGAGATTTACCCTGTTGACCAGGAGCCACTCACATCTCTGGAGGATGGATGAAGGTGGTATAAGCCATGTTAATAACCAGCTTTAGGGGTAGGAGTAGGAGCCTCTGTGAGCCTATTCTGGCTCGGGACGCTGCCTTTTTTTTTTTTTTGAGACAGAGTCTTGCTCTGTTGCCCAGGCTAGAGTGCGGTGGCACGATCTCGGCTCACTGCAGCCTCAATCTTTCAGGCTCAAGCAATCCTCCCACCTCAGCCTCCTGAGTAAGTGGGACTACAGGAGCATGCTACCATGCCTGGCTAAATTTTTTTTGTATTTTTGGTAGAGATGGGGTTTCACCATCTCTACCAAAAATACAAAAAAAATACTGGGGTTTCAAGACCAGGCTGGTCTCGAACTTCTGGGCTCAAGTGATCCGCTCGCCTTGACCTCCCAAAGTGCTGGGATTACAGGCGTGCACCACCGCACCCCGCCGAGGCAGCTCATTTAAAAAAGAAAGAAAGAAAGAAAGGAAAATGAGTAGAAATTATAGACCCAATTAGGGTTGCCAGATTTAGCAAATAAAAAATACAGGATACCCAGTAAAATTTGAATTTCAGGTAAACAATGGGTAATTTTTAGTATATTTGAGATGTACTTTCACTAAAAATGATTTGTTTATCTGAAATTCAAATTTAACTGGTTATCCTGTATGTTATTTGGCAACCCTAGGCCAAACTTATACTCTTAGATTTTATTTATTTTTTTCTTTTTTTAGCAGGCAAGAACCATACTCTTAGATTTATTTATTTTTTGAGATAGAGTCTTGCTCTGTCATCCAGGCTGGAGTGCAGTGGCTCAATCATGGCTCATTGCAGCCTCAACCTCCCGGGCTCAGGTGATCCTCCCACCTCAGCCTCCAGAGTAGCTGGGACTACAGGCACGTGCCACCATGCCCAGCTTATTTATTTATTACTATTATTTTTTGAGATGGAGTGTAGCTCTGTTGCCCAGGCTGGATTGCAGTGGCACGATCTTGGCTCATTGCAACCTCCGCCTCCCAGGTTCAAGCGATTCTCCTGCCTCAGCCTCCCGAGTAGCTGGGACTACAGGTGGCTAATTTTTGTGTTTTTTAATAGAGTCAGAGTTTTGCCATTTTGGCTAGGCTGGTCTCGGACTCCTGATCTCAAGTGATCTGACTGCCTTGGCCTCCCAAAGTGCTGGGATTACAGGTGTGAGCCACTGTGCCTGGCCCAGCTTATTTAATTTTTCTTTTCTTTTTTTTTTTTCTGGAGTCTTGCTTTGTCGCCCAGGCTGGAGTGCAGTGGTGCGATCTCAGCTCACTGCAAACTCCACCTCCCGGGTTCAAGAGATTCTCCTGCCTTAGCCTCCTGAGTAGCTGGGATTACAGGCATGCACTACCGTGCCTGGCTAATTTTTATATTTTTAATACAGATGGGGTTTCACCATGTTGGTCAGGCTGGTCTCGAACTCCTGACTTCATGATCCGTCCCCCTCGACCTCCCAAAGTGTTAGGATTACAGGCATGAGCCACTGTGCCCAGCCGCTAATTTATTTTTTGTACAGACAGAGTTTCTCCATGTTGCCCAGGCTGATCTGGAACTCCTGGGCGCAAGTGAACCATCTGCCTCGGCCTCCAAAGTGCTGGGATTACAGGCCGGGTGCGGTGGCTCACGCCTGTAATTCCAGCACTTTGGGAGGCCAAGGCAGGTGGATCAGCTGAGGTCCGGAGTTCAAGACCAGCCTGGCCAACAAGGTGACACCCTGTCTCTACTAAAAATACAAAAATAAGCCACGTGTGGTGGCGCATGCCTATAGTCCCCACTACTTGAGAGGCTGAGGCAGGAGAATCACTTGAACCCAGGAGGCGGAGGTTGCAGTGAGCCAAGATCACACCACTGCACTCCAGCCTGGGCGACAGAGTGAGGCTGTGTCTCAAAACAAACAAACAAAACAAAACAAAACAAACAAAACAAAAACAAACAAAAAACCCGAAGTGTGGGGACTACAGGCGTGAGCCACTGCCCACGGCCACTCTCAAGATTTAATCTCAATGAGTGAAGTGGTCTGTCCAGGCCCCCTGACTGTAGGAAGCAGCACAGCTAGGATTTGAACCTGAGTTGGCCTGACTGCAGGTATCCAGCTCCTCTCCTTTACAAACAGCACACACACTTGGTCTATGTGAACACTCTGCCTTGGTGGCCCTTTCTTGTGCCCACGTCCTGTATTCCTTGAGGAGATCCAGGTAGGACCCAAGGTGGGCTGAAATAAGGGCTCAGGAAGTGCGCCTGAAATGTGCTCCCTTCAGCTGAAAATATGAAGCCACTATGTGCCGGGTACTATTCTAGGATATGGGGACACAGGAGTGGGGAAAAGAGATTAAATAATCCTCCTTTGGTGAGAGTACCTTCTCGTTGTCGGGAGATAAGATAGTAAACAAAATAAACAAGTAACACATATAGCAAGTCAGATGATGACAAAAACTAAAGAAAAGTAGAAAAGGATTGGTACCACCAGGGGTAGGGGATTGCAGTTTAAAAGAGGTATTGCCACACATCCACCAGAATGGCATAAATGAAACAGACAGACAATGACATGTGCTGGCAAGATGTGGAGCAATGGGAACTCTCGTGCACTGCTGGTGGGGTTACCGTTGATTTCCCATCATAGAAAACTGTTTGGCAATATCTTCTGTAGCCGAACCTATGCTTAGACTATGACCCAGCAATCCATTCCTAGGTATACAACTAACAACTGTGTAGATATACTCATCAAAAGACACACTAGAATGTTCTTAGCAGCACGATGCTTAGTAGCTGGCAATAACCCAAATGTCCATCAAAAATAGAACTGATAACTAATCATAGTCTTTCATACTGTGGGAAATTATACAGCACTGAGAATGAATGAAAGAACTAATGCTGATGCAACTGTGTGGATGAATCTCAACCATATAATGTTGAGCAGAAGAAGACAGACATCAAGGATAACGTGTCCATTTATCTAAAGTTCAAAAGCAAAGACATCTCTCTAAGGGTTGAGAAATTAGAATAGTATTTAGCCAGGGTCAGGGAGAGGGCTATTGATGGAAAGGGGTGCACAAGAGGGGCTTCTGGGGTGCTGATCACGTTCTGCTTCTTGACTTGGGGGCTGGCTACAATGGTGTGTTCACTATGTGAAAATGTATCAAGTTAGTTCCTTATGATGTAGGGACTTCCTACATGTATGTTTAACAAAAATAGGGAGATCCGGCCTCACTGAGAAGGTTCTCATCTTGCAGGAGCCAGAGATAAGGAAGAGACCAACAAAAAGGAGCTATATGAGAGCAACAAGCATTTCCTGGGGCCCTACAACCCTGTGAGCCCGTGCCAGAACATTCTGCGGGTGATCGAGGTGACTGCCTGGTGCCCATCCAGGAGCGGAGGGTGGGGGGTGAGGAGGGGCAGTGCCACCTGGCCCCAAAGCTTTCTTCCCTTCTAGCTTTCCAGGCTTTGCAGGACGCCTTCCCAGCCACCCACGCCTGTCCTGAGTGCCCTCCTCCTCCAGTCTGTGCCACAGTGCATGGACTTCCTTCTCCCTTACGCATGTCACCCTGTGCTGAGTGCAGGGACATGTTGCTCTTACTTTTGTAGCTCCTCCCCTAAAGGTTCAACACTTATGTGTTAACTGAATATTCCTGGCCCTCCCTGCTGACCTCTGCATGTGGGCGTCAGGCAGTGTTTGTGCCTCTGTGCACAAAGCTCGAAGCTCAAAGCTCGGGCTACCCATCAGTGTGTCATGATCTCAGCACCTTTGTTTCAGGAATTTGGAGACTTCCTGGGGCCCCAGCAGATAAAGGACCTGCTGCTGGCCGCCCTGGAAGGGCTGAAAGGCAGCTCAGAGGCTCCAGGGAAGGACTCCAGGGAGATGATGCAGCTGGCCTCGGAGGTCATGCTCAGCTCGGTGCTGGAGTGGTACCGCCACAGGGCGCTGGAGGTGGTAAGGCCTCCTGGGGGCAGGGAGTGAACTGTCACTGGGGCTCGGGAGCTCCCCCCATGGCCTGCTCATCACTGGCCGGCCAGACAGTGGGCAGGGTGGGGTATACCTGAACCCCCTAAGCCATGGGGCAGGGAAGGGGTGCTGGTGGCTGAGTTCTAGGTGCTCCCACCTTGAAGGTTTTCTCTTACCACCCCTGAAGGAGCTCAACTGACTTGGTGGTGGGTAGAGGTGGGTTTGGCGGTGGAAGCAGGTATAGGGAGCATAGTAAAGAGAAACTGGCTCACTCCCAGGGAGGGGCAGGCGCTCTGCTTGCCTCTTCCTCTCTCTCTCCTTTGGGCCTTCTCCCCTGTCCTCTAGCCTGTCACCCCCTTCCCTCTCCTCCCACCTTCCTGCTGCCCCCGTGCTTCCCTTGGCAGTCCCCTTGCTCATGGCTGCCCCGGCTGTGCCCCAGATCCCAGAAATCATGCAAGGCATCTACATGCAGCTGAGCCACATCCAGGAGCCTCGGGCCCGCCAGGTGGCCCTGCTGCCCGTCTCCCTCCTGGCTAGCTCCTTCATGACCGAGGTTGTGGTGGCCCTGCTCATGTGCCCCCTCCCACTGAACAGGTACCAAGTGAAGGGGTTCCCAGCCACTGCATCTTACAGGGTTCAAGCAGCCCCCACCCCAGGTTGGGGACCCCCTTCTGCCCAGATAAGCCCCTCGCCCTCCCAGATGGCCCCCCTTCTGTGATCTGGGGTGTTTATGACAACCATTAAGCACTTCCTGAGCACTGCTGCTGTCAGCGCCGAGCATTACAATAGTCTCTAATTCTCACAACAATCCCATTCTGCAGATGAGGAAACCAAGGCTTAGGGAAGTTTCTTGCCTTAGGTACTCACTGAGCAAGCAATAGAACGGAGGACCTAAACTCAGGTCTAACTAACTACCAGCCCAGAGCTCTTTAACAATGCCATTGAAAGGAGGTCTGCGTGTCCGTCCTGACTCTGCCTCCAGCTGCTGTGTGGGTCTTGGGTAGCCCATTTGTCCTCTCTTTCCCCCTTAGGCAAAAGAAGGAAATGATCCCTGCAATCCCACCCCAGGTGGGTGGTCATGACAGTAATGCAGCCAGCGGTGCTGAGTGCCTGCTCAGGCCTGGGCCCGTGCGGAAGGGTGCTCCAAGCTCACTGTCTTCAGGGAGCTCGTGATCTGATGGGCAGAGGGGACTGTGGTCAGATGGTGAGCTCGTGGGCAGGAGAGGTCAGTCTGGCCTCAGCCTCCCACCCAGGAAATGCTCCCATGCTTTCTTTGAATGAGTAAAACAAGGCAGTGAGTGATCCACACCTTCGGGTGGTTGTTTGAGAGCCAAAGAACTGTGCAGAGCTGTGCAAATGGGGTGTGCTCCAATAAGGGCAGTTGATGTCATTCATAGGAACCAAGAAGATCAGTCAGGATGGTGAGGGCCCAGCTGGCACATCCCAGTCTCCCACTTGGAAGAATTAAACCCTTTCTGGCTGTACTCCCCACCAGGGTTTTTTTTTTCTTGGGTCCACTAAACAGTCAGACTCATAAGACTACTGGGGGCCTCATCTGACATCCGTCACACAGGATACAGGACAGGGCAGTGTCAGGAGCTCCTCCTTGCGGGGGTCCTTGCAGCAGCCCCCACAGCAGGCCAGGCAGAGGCACCCAGGGCATAACATTTAAGGACATAGTCTCGGGTGCCAAGTCTGCACTTGTGTGAGCCTGAGAATGAGGGCTTCCTTCAAGTTGGCACCCTGGATGCCTCACTTTCCTTATCCTAGTCTTGGCCCTGAGTCTAGGAGCTGGTCTCTTGGGCCTCTCAGGTGAAAGTTCAGGTGTGACGAAAGGAGACCTATAGGGTGGATATAGGAGCTGCCCTGGCTTAAATGGCACAGGCCTCACAGAGACCAGTATCTTTTACATCTTGGCTTTGCTTCCAGGGTCCCCACAGGGACAAACCAAGTTACAAGGGTCACTGCATCCTGGGAAGCTCAATGCTATAGTGTCCCCATCAGTTCTTATAGTTAATTTATAGTTCCTCCCTGTCCAGATGCAATTTACCAGTGGAGTCATTATTACCATAAGTAATGTTGCCTAGCAACATAGTTGACATACTGTATCAGGTTGCCAGGGGAACAGAGCTAGAAAGTGAATGGAGGGTTGAAACCCTCTTGTAGAAGGGGAAAGGTTTTTGTTAACCCTTTAGTACACTGGCCTGCCAGTGCTTTCAACACCCTATGATAGGAGTTTGGTTGGGTGCAGATGCTTTTCCTTGCCTGGTGTACTGCCTTTTAAGGGATGGGAACAGAGGCTCCCTGATATTATGTGACAAGTGCAGGATCCTAGCCCCAGGCTGCTCAACTGCCTCCACTCTTGCTCCTTGGTTAGAGGAATGAGCACAGGCTTTGAAGACATCAGGCCTGGCCATATCTGGACTCTGCAGCTCATTAGCTGTGTAATCTTGGACTGGTAATTTCACCTCTCTGAGCCTCAATTCCTCATTTGTAAAATGGGAATAACAACACTCACCTTAGGGTTATTGTGAGAATTCAGTGATCTTGAGTGTCTTGAATCCTTGTTCATGTCTGTATTCCCCAAGATTTGCGTAGGGCCTGGTGTACAGTAAATGCTCAGCTAATATCTGCCGAAGTAATACATTGCATGTAAAACGTAAAACATTTGGCATGATACCTGGGAAATAGGGTTTCTTTCTTTCTTTCTTTTTTTTTTTTTTTTTGAAGATGGAGTTTCGCTCTTTTCTCCCAGGCTGGAGTGCACTGCTGGCGTGATCTTGGTTCACTGCAACCTCTGCCTCCCGGGTTCAAGCGATTCTCCTGCCTCAGCCTCCTGAGTAGCTGTGATTACAGGCATGCACCACCATGCCCAGCTAATTTTTTTTGTATTATTAGTAGAGACGGGGTTTCACCATATTGGCCAGGCTGGTCTCAAACTCCTGACCTTAGGTGATCCACCCACTTTGGCCTCCCAAAGTGCTGGGATTACAGGTGTGAGCCACCATGCCCACCAAGGAAATAGGGTTTCTTGTCCTTCTAGCCCCTGACTCTTTGGGAGTGTTTTCTGGACTATTCCTTGCAGGTGTGCCCATGGATGCCATTTCATTGGCATCTTACCTTCCCCCTCCCAAAACCATTTGGAGGCTGGGTTAGCCCCACTGCCTTGGCCACCACTAATTGCCCACATCCCTGACCTCTCAGCAATGGAGCAGAGATGTGGAGGCAGCTGATACTGTGTAAGCCCAGCTGTGATGTCCGAGACCTCCTGGATCTGCTCCTGGGCAGCCTGAAGGAGAAGCCCGTCACCAAGGAGGGCCGGGCTTCCATCGTGCCCCTGGCGGTGAGCACCCAGTCAGCCAGCCCCTATTGCTGCCTGTCCTGCCCTTCCTCTCTCCTTCCCTCCTGCTGAGCTAAGCACACCCGGCCTCGAGTACCGCACTCTGCCAGTAACTAGTTGTGTGGTCTTGGGCAGGTCTCTGGCTCTGGCTCTTGTCTGTGGTTCACTGGACAATAACAGTAGTGTTGTCTATGGTGACAACAGCAGCCTGGGATATGGGAAAAAGAGTGACTTGGAGTCACAGACAGTCTAAATCCTGGTTCTGGCCAGGCATGGTGGCACATGCCTGTAATCCCAGCACTTTGGGAGGCGGAGGCAGAGGATCACTTGAGGCTAGGAGTTTGAGGCCAGCCTGGGCACTATAGCAAGACCTCTTCTCTATTTTTTTAAAAAAATCCTACATTACCATTTTGTGGCCTAGGTAAGTCACTTCCACCTCTATGAGGCTCAGTTTCTACATATGTGAATAGAAATAATATCTTTCTCATATGGCGGCTGTGAAGATTATATGAGATAACACATTCATTCATTTAGGTGACACAAAACACTTCTTGCTGCCACACTCCAAGCTTGACCCTGGGAACACAGAGCGAAAGGCAGCTCTGACTCAGGAAGCTGGCTGGGCTGAAGAGACGGATTTGTCTCTGTCTCTATCACCACCCTGGTCCATGCCAGTTGGTCCATACCCCTGGTCCATACCCCTGCCTACCTTCCTGATTCTGCTCCTGCCCCTCCAATCTGTACTGCAGCCAAAAAGTCTTTGAGAAATGCACATCTCCTCTTCTCAGCACCCTTGATGGTTTTGCATTGCCCCTGAGAGTGACACAGTGCTCCTACCTGTGGCGAAGGCCCTGCATCCCTGGCCGGCTTCCCCACGCTCCATGGTCCTCCTGCTTGCTTTGCTCCAGCCTCACGGGTCTTTGTCAGAACTTCATCCAGCCACGCTATCTTGTCACAGGGCCTTTGCACATGCTGTTTCCTCTACCTAGAATGCTCTCCACCGAGCTAACTTCTACTCATCCTTCAGCTGTCAACTCCAGCATCACTTCCTTAGGGAAGCCCTCCCTGATCTCCCTGACCTGGTCAAATCTGTACGTAGTATATTTTGCGTCACATACTTTGTATGAAAAGAGTTTACACCAGTTGTCATTTGACAACACCACAGGGGATCCTTTGGTTAATCTGTGAGACACATGAAGACATTGCTGTCCTGCTGTGCTCACCATGATATCCCCAACATCTTGCATACACCTGGCGCATAGTAAGCACTCAGAAATGTTTTTGTTGGGCTGATTTATTTTTTCAATAAGTGTTTAGTGAGCACCTCCTATACTATGTGCCAAGCACACTTATAGGTTCTGGGGATTCAGAAGCGAGACATTCTGGTGAAGGGAAGTAAATAAAGGTACAGTAGATGAAGGAGAGGGTAGTATTATCCCATTACAGAGGAGGATGCTCCTGCTTAGAGACATTCCATGTCTCCCCCCAGGTCACCTAGCTAGCAATGGTGGTGCTAGGACTCAAACCCAGCAGATCTTCCGCTTCCAAATCCTGCGCTTCACTCCCATATATCTCTCTGCCTTTGTCCTCCAGCACTGAGTTCTGTGCCTAAGGCACCAGCACTCCTTCCCTTGCAATTTGGGCATTCATCCTCTTCTACAATTGGTGTATGTTAGTGTATTCTTTAGTCACTCATTTGTGCTTCTTGTCCAGCAAGCATAGTTTAAGCATGGATACAGCCTGAACTCATTCTTATCTTATGGCACTGATAAATCGTTTGAGCAAGATAGAGCCGAAAGCAAAGCCCTGTGGCACATCACTAGAGACTTTTCCCTTACACCACAGACTGTGTTCTTTGGATGTAATCATTAGCTTTGGGCTGCTGGAAAAGTACAAGGGCTTTGAGTCCAAGAGACTTGTCTTAGCTCTGCCACTGCCTCACTATATAACCGTGGTCAATCACTTCCCCTCTCTAGCCTTGGTGCTTATATCTGTAAAATGGGCTATGATAACTCCTGCATTGTCTATCTTACCTGTTGAGAAAGGGGAGATAGTGTATGTGGAAGAACTTCTTAAGCTGTAAAGTGCAAATTAACTGCCATTTATTGTTCTCATTCAGCCCATGTTAGGTCACTTTTCTCCAAGGGAACATGTCAGGGGTTCTTTCACTTTGCAATTAAATGCTTTCCTCTTGGCCCAGATGCATGGAGTCTTTTTTTTTCTCTCCTTTTTTTTTTTGAGACTGAGTCTTGCTCTATCACCCAGGTTGTTGGAGTGCAGTGGCATGATCTTGGTTCACCACAACCCCTCCACCTCCCGGGTTGCAGTGATTCTCATGCCTCAGCTTCCCGAGCAGCTGGGACTACAGGCACCCGCCACCACACCTGGCTAATTTTTGTATTTTTAGTAGAGACGGGGTTTCCCCATGTTGGCCAGGCTGGTCTCAAACTCCTGCCTGACCTCAAGTGATCTGCCCACCTTGGCCTCCCAAAGTGCTGGGATTACAGGCATGAGCCACTGTGCCTGGCCTGCATGGAGTCCTAATGGCACAGCTCAAACCATTTATGTATAAAGCATGCTTACCTTCGCCCTCTCATTTAGGCTCTAACACTCCTGTGGGGCTGGCCGGATGATGATCAGTGACTCCACTTTTCAGAGATCTGAGGCCCAGAGGCGCCAGGGAGTGGTAGAGCCAGAATGAGCCATGAGTCTTGTGACACCAGCCCATCACCCACTCCCCACCCCCTAGTATTGCCCTTCTGCCAGTTAGAGAGGACTTGGTGGGCCAAGTATGAGGGTGGGCCCAGGCCAGGTCCAGAGCTGGATTGGCAGGTGGAGAAGTTGCCCCAGGTCACCAGCCCTTGGGGGCAGAGCTGGCACTTGAGCCATGCTCTTGCTCAAGGCTGGTGTTGTTTCTCTTGGCTGCTGGCCTCATGGGGATGGGAGTGAGGACAGCCTAGTTTAATGGCCCAGGGTGAAGAGGCCAGCCTGGTGCCCCTTACATTCTGTGTGCCTGTGTTGTGAATGAGGAAGAGGCACAGCACGCTATAGTTGGTATCAGAAAACCTGGGTTCAAGTTCCAGCTCTGCCCCCAAGGGGCTGGTGACCTTGAGCTAGCAGCTTCACCCCTCTGAGTCCGCCTCCTCATCTGCAAAATGAGATCAAGACTCTTTACCTCTCAAGAGGTAGAAGGGATTCTTCCACCATGATTCTTCCAAGGTTGCATAAACATCAAAGCCCTGGACCAAAACTAAGGGGTGGATTGTTGTCCTTGCTCTGGGACAGGGCCTCTGGCCAGAGAGCCAGAGGTTTGGGGCTGGGGGGTGGGGAATCCCAGCTTCCCCAGGCTGGGCCAGAGGACAGCAAAGACCCAGATCCTACCTCCCAGAGAGGCAGTCCAGGCCCCAGCCAGGAGTGCTGGGAAGATGGGCCACGACATCCCAGCAGCCTCCCCTCTGCCCCATAGGCAGCCAGCGGCCTGTGCGAGCTCCTGTCCGTCAACAGCTGCATGGGCCGTGTGAGGCGCATCTACCCTCAGCTGCTCCTGGCCCTGCTCATTCAGGTCCATTACCACATCGGCCTCAACCTGCCTGGCTGCGTGGCTCCTCCCAAGGACACCAAGAAGGGTGCACAGCCCTCTCCCTTCGTACCTGTGCGGTATGCTCTGCCCTCTCTCTTGACCCTGCTGTCCCCGGTGGTGGGAAGGGCCATCCAGTCAGAGCCTCCAAAAGTCTCAGGGGCAATCAATCAATAGAAATCAGCTTTGGGACTAGAAGAGAAAACAGAAGCACAATTTTATTAGAGCCAATAATTCATTCAACAACTGTTTTTGAGCACCTGCTCTGTGCATTACACACTGTGTTTAGTCTAGATCACAGGAAAGAATCAGCCCTCCCCAAGGAGTTCACTCTTTACTTTTTCTTCTTTCCTCCCTAGAGGTATTATTTGTATTAAGTTTGTATCCAAGGCCCAAATACTTTATTTTTAATTATTAATTGGAGTAGATAATATAGGCACATGGGTAAAATACTCAAAAGACATTAAAAGGAAGCTTCCTTCCCTGTCCTTACCCCAGTTATGTTCCCAAAGACAACCAAGTTCTTCATGCCCTCCCAGAGGAGGATTATGCAGGGATAAACACATTTACTTATATTCTGTATTTTTACACCAATGACAGCACCTCACACTGCTACACATTTTTTGCCTTCATTACATACTATATCTTAGAGACCATTGTATTGTAGAGCTGTCTCCTTATTTATTTATTTATTTATTTATTTATTTATTTATTTATTTATTTGAGATGGAGTCTCGCTCTGTCGCCCAGGCTGGAGTGCAGTGGCGCAATCTCAGCTCACTGCAACCTCCGTCTCCTGGGTTCAAACAATTCTCCTACCTCAGCCTCCCGAGTAGCTGGGATTACCAGCATCTGCCACCATGCCCAGCTAATTGTTTGCATTTTTAGTAGAGATGGGGTTTCACCACGTTGGCCAGGCTGGTCTTGAACTCCTGACCTCAGGCGATCCACCCGCCTCAGCCTCCCAAAGTGTTGGGATTATAGGCGTGAGCCACTGCACCCGGCTGAGCTGTCTCTTTATTTTTAACAGCTGCATAGTATCTCTATGTATAGGATCCCAGTGCACCATAATTGATTTAACCAGGCTTCTCTGGATTTCGGGGCTTTCCAGCCATTGGCAGTTACAAGGCTGCAGTGAGTTTGCTTGTTTATATGTCTTTATGTGTACATGTGATTTTATATGTAGGACAATTCCTGAAAGTAGAATGGGCACATCAAAGGGCTTCTGCATTACATGTTAAGGTGATAGAAAAAGCTCCTGACCATTGCATGATAAAGGATAAAATGGAGTGACTCCTAAAACATCCAGTTTGCCAAATTGCCTCCCACAGAGAGCACTGCCACCAGCAGTGTATGAGTATCTATTTCCCTACACCCTTGCCAACACAATGTGTTATAAAACATTTTTATCTTTGCCAATATTAGAGTTAAAAAATTGGAATTTTGCTGTAGTTTTAGTATGCGTTTCTCTTATGAATGACATTGAGTTTGCTTTTTTTCTTTCTTTTTTTTTTTTTTGAGACAGGGTCTCACTCTTTTGCCCAGGCTGGAGTGCAGTGGTGCAAACATGGCTCACGGCAGCCTTCACCTCCCAGACTCAAGCAATCCTCTCGCTTGAGCCTGACTTCATCGCTTGAAGTCAGGAGTTCAAGACCAGCCTGGCCAATATGGTGAAACCCCGTCTCTACTAAAAATACAAAAATTAGCCAGATGTGGTGGTGGGTGCCTATAATCCCAGGTGCTCAGGAGGCTGAGGCAGGAGAATTGCTTGAACCTGGGAGGCAGAGGTTACAGTGAGCCAAGATTGCACCACTGCACTCCAGCCTGGGTGTCACAGCGAGACTCCGTCTCAAAAAAAAAAAAATTTTTTTTTTTTTTTTTTGTTAGAGATGGAAGTCTTGCCATGTTGCCCAGGCTGGTCTCGAACTCCTAGGCTCAAGTGATCCTCCAACCTTGGCCTCCCAAAGTGCTAGGATTATAGGTGTAAGCCACCATGTCCAGGCCAGAAATGTTTTTTATGTAGCCAAGTTTATCAGTTTTTTCTTCTGTGACTCGTATTGTTATGATAGGAGTGTGCCTAACACTTTCTGTGTTATGCACAGAAAGGTGCATTTAGAGAGGCAGAGGGCAAACAGTTGTGTAGTGGGCTTGAGTCTGAAGGTCTTGGATTCAAATCGTGGCTTCATCACCTAGAATGTTGTATTTTGGGTAAATGAATTTTACCTCTTGGCAGTTGGTTTCCTTGCCTATGAAATGGATAAATGATTCCTGTCCCATAGGTGTGCTGTGAGGACCAGATAGGGTCGCATCCCAGCAAGACACCATTTGCCCGCAGTGCGGCCAGTTCCCATTCCCCTCCTGCTCATGCTCGTAGGTGCCGCCCTGAGAGCATTGCCCAGAAGGCTGACGGGCTCTGGGGAAAACACAAGGGGAAAAAAAGGAGGCTCTGGAGGGGGAGGAGGAACACATATGGGAAAAAATTCTTGACCTTGGAGTGATGAAAGGTATGACCTGCCAATGCAGAGGGCATGGCTCAAATGAGGACATCAAGGAGAAGCTGGAGGAGTGCCCGAGTATCCACCTCACCTCAGTGTCTCAGAAGCAGCCTGAGAGGCAGAAAAAGCAGAGGCAGGCATGTGCCAGGCTGAAGGGGGGCCAGAAAAGTCATGAGATGTAGTGGTCTAAATGGTGGCCCCCGAAAGACATGTCTGCCCAGAACCCATGATAGTGACCTTATTTGGAAAAAGGGTCTTTGCAGATATAGTTAAGGATCTCAAGATGAGGTCCTCCTGGATTAACCATGTGGGCACTGAATCCAGTGCCAAGGGGCCTTATAAGGAGAAGAGAGGCCCAGACACAGGGGAGAAGGCTGATGAAGACAAAGAGTGAGTGATGTGGTCACAAGCTAAGGAGTGCTGGAAGCCACCAGAAGCCAGAATAGGCAAGGAAGCATTCTCCCCTGGACTCTTCAGAGGGCTGCGGCCCTGCTGACACCTTAATTTTGGATATCTGGCCTCTAGAACTGCGAAAAAATATATTTCTGTTGTTTTGAGCCACCCAGGTTGTGGTGATTTGTACAGGAAATGAATCCTCTGGGGTATGGCACCAGAGCAAATTGTCCGTGCTCCAGACTGCAGTGATGAGGTGGAATAGCTCCACGGGGCATCAGCACACAAGGCGGTCACATCCTCCTGAGAGGAGAGGCAGGCTCTGGTAATGAGTGCAACAATTACCCCTGCAAACAGCTTGGGTTTGAAGGAGGAGGAGGGAGTGGCCTGAGAGCTTGTCCTGTGAAGCCCAGTTTCTGTGCCTTCCAGGAAGGTGAAACTTTCAGCAGCCCTGGGCTTTAAAGCAGCTCCAGCTGGGTGCAGTGGCCCATGCCTGTAACCCCAGCACTCTGGGAGGCTGAGGCAGGAGAATCGCTTGAGGCCAGGGGTTTGAGACCAGCCTAGGCAACATGGCGAAACCCCATCACTCCAAAAAAATAAAAAATTAGCCAGGTGTGTGGTCCCAGCTACTTGGAAGAATAAGGCAGGAGGGTCGTGTGAGTCCAAGAGATCAAGGCTGCAGTGAACCATGTTCTTGCCACTACACTCCAGCCTGGGTGACAGAGCTAGACCCTATCTCAAAAAAAGAAAGCAACTCCATGTCAGATCAATCATTGGCTCTGGTGTCCCAGTGCAGGGACAGAGAATAAATATTTCAAGGTGTCCCTTGCTCTACTTTGCAGAGAAAGCCTTTTAGAAGGGTAAAACTTGCAGAGTGAGTGTTTGGGGACACAAGAGCCACCCCACCACCCACAGCACAGCCCTCCTCCCAAAAGTTTCAACTCTATTTTTTCACGAAGCAGCACGGGCGCCATTTGGGCTGTTGCAAGTATAACTTTGGGAGTGGGGTGAGAAGGGAGGGAAATGAGGCCTGGGATCACCTTGGGGTCAGGGTGGGAGGGAGGGGGTGTGGAAACCCAGGCTCACTTTTGTGAAAATATGAAGCCTGATTGAGGGAGTGAGGTGAAATGACAGAGAGGATCAACTACGAATGATGCAGTTCTGAGTTCAGAAGTTCAGAAGTTTTTTTTTTTTTCCTTTTTTTTTTTAGACGGAGTCTCACTGTCGCCCAGGCTAGAGTGCAGTGGCGCTACCTCAGCTCACTGCAAACTCCGCCTCCCGGGTTCACGCCATTCTCCTGCCTCAGCCTCCCGAGTAGCTGGGACTACAGGCGCCCGCCACCACGCCCGGCTAATTTTTTGTATTTTTAGTAGAGACAGGATTTCACCATGTTAGCCAGGATGGTCTCGATCTCCTGACCTCGTGATCCACCCTCCTCGGCCACCCAAAGTGCTGGGATTACAGGCGTGAGCCACAGCACCTGGCGAATTCAGAAGTTTTGGCCTAAATACATATTCATCAGGCAACACAAATGAGGACTGGGAGGACTGGCCAAGCCATGGCTATCTGGAACCTCTAAGTCAGGTCATTCCCTTTTGAGCTCTGGAGCTCAATCTGTGCCCAAGCCAGTTTGTAAGAAGGTGTCCAAAATGATGACCCTGGAGATAGGGACACACAGGGAGGGGAGGGTGGTCCAGTCACCGGAGGAGCATATGCAGGAGGCTCATTCTGTCTTAGGTAAAGGTGCTAGTGCCTGAACTTTAAGAGAATAACCTTTCTTCTCCAAACAAAAACCTGTACATCTCAGCTTAGCCATTCAGCCAGTACTTGCAAAGGGAAGAGAATGGTGATGGGAGAATTGGACAACACTCTGAGCCTGCCTGTCTTTCTCCCTCCCTTTTGTTTGTAACTCTGAATGCTAGAGGCATTGCCAGTAGGGACTATCATTGATGGCACACATTTCAAAGAATAAGCACAGAGGTTGAATGATTCCAAAATTCTGCCCTCAGGAGAAGCTTTTATTTTCACACTGGATCATTACAAAAGCAAAAACATGAAAATGAAGGGCAAATTTCTGAGGATTACCTAATTACTTAAGTCCTTTCTTTTGAATCATGAGAGCCACCAGCTCTCACTATCAGCTGAGGTATGTCCACAAAGTGCACCATAAACTCTTTCAGCAAATGTTTAGGTTTCTGGAAAACTTTGTTTAAATGTAAGCTTTATTCTATACAGTGTCAGTTTTTATTTTAATAAAAGTGTATATAGGCTGGGTGCTGTGGCTCATGCCTCTAATCCCAGCACTTTGGGAGGCTGAGGCAGGCAGATCACTTGAGATCAGGAGTTCAAGACCAGCCTGGCCAACATGGAGAAACCCCGTCTCTACTAAAAATACAAAAATTAGCCGGGTGTGGTGGCGCATGCCTGTAATCCCAGCTACTCGGGAGGCTGAGGCACGAGAATTGCTTTAACCCAGGAGGCAGAGATTGCAGTGAGCCGAGATCGCACCATTGCACTCCAGCCTGGCGACAAAAAAAAAAAAAAAAAGTGTGTGTGTGTGTGTGTGTGTGTGTGTGTGTGTATCTAGAAACCTCTGTCTGATCTCTCTCTCTCTCTCTCTCCTCCCCCCCACCCCCCATGTATGAACACACAGTGCGGTGCCAGGCATACAGTAGGATGTCAGTGCCCTCCCAGGGCTTCTTAGGCTCATTCTGGAGCTTGACAAGCACTGGCCAGAGCCCCAGTCTCGTCAGTTGGTAGGTCATAAAAGCTCCCCAAGTGCTGCTGCTGGGTATGCAGTTTGAGAATCACTCCTTAAGTGTCCTGAGTTGGAGAAGGACTCGGCCCACATAGGAGACTGTGAGTGAGCAGAGAGGCTGCCTGCCCAGCCCATGGCTGATGCATAGTGGAGGGTGAGAGAGAGGCTGGTCCCAGAGGTAAAAGCACAGCCTTCATAGGGAGGTGGACTTTGCTTCTGTTTCCTCTCTTGTTCTAAAAGCTAATGATTATTTGTAAAAAGCCACCCTTTGTGGATACACTGAATACCCCTACCTAAAATGGTGAAGAGAAGTTTGTCGGGCCAGATGGCAGGAGAGGCCGGGGTGGAGGGAGGCTTGGCCTGCTAGGGCCCAGGTAGGCATGAGGTCTTAATTGCCTTGTCTTGGCAGCTGGGTGGTGAAAGTGGTGAAAACCCTGCTACTGAGGATGGGCTGCTCTTATGAGACCACGTTTCTGGAGGACCAGGGTGGCTGGGAGCTCATGGAGCAGGTGGAGAGCCACCACCGCGGAGTGGCCTTGCTGGCAAGGTGAGTCCCGGGACCACCTTGGGGTTGGGGTGGGAGGGAGAAAGAGGGGGACCTCAGGATCTTCAGACGGACTTGGTCTGCATCTCTCCCTGGGCAAGACCCTTTGCTCAGTCTGTCACCTCTTCTCTACAACTGGGAGGGTGCTGTCTTCCTTGGCAGGTAGACAATACAAATGTTAAAGATAGCACTCACTCTTCAGAGGTTCCTGGCAATTGTGGAGCACTTAGACTATCCACAAAGCACCATTCCTTAGTGCATTATGAATTTAGTTCCCATGCCAAAACAGAAATGGTGGTATAACCAAGTTGTTGAGGTGTGGCCTTGGAGATGGCCTGACTGCATCTGAATCCCAGCTTACCACTTGCCACCTGTGTGACCTGGGACAAGTTACTTCCCTCTGAGTCTCCACTTTCCTTCAATAGCATGGAAATAATAGTCAGACCCACCTCTGAGGGTTGGGGTGAGGATTAATTAAAGTACTTTGAATAGGCCAGGCATGGTGGCTCATGCCTGTAATCCCAGTGCTTTGGGTGTTTGAGGCGGGTGGATCATCTGAGGTTAGGAGTTCAAGAACAGCTTGAACCTGCCTTTTAGACACAGTTATCAACAATGCGTTTCTGATATTTTGTGTCAGTTCTTTTGTTCTTTCCCATTTGAATGTGTAGTACATGATGGTAAGTGTCAGTTGGGTCTGCAGAGGCAACATAGTGAAACCCCATCTCTACCGAAAATACAAAAATTAGCTGGGTGTGGTGGCATGTGCCTGTAGTCCCAGCCACTCGGGAGGCTGAGGCATGAGAATTGCTTGAACCCAGGAGGTGGAGGTTGCTGTGAGCCGAGATGGCACCACGTACTCCAGCCTGAAAAAAAGTACTTTGAATAGCCCCTGGCATATGGTAAGAGCTCCACACAGGCTAATTTTTACTATAGTTATAGTCACTGGTGGGGCAGGGGTGATTAACACATATTTTGCACAGAAACATGCCAAGTCTGGAGAGGAATTGTCATGTGCCCGAAGTCACACAGGCAGGACATGGCAGAGGTGGGAAGTGACCTGCTGACCCAGACTAAAGCTCTTCCCCAGGCCATGCACAGCTTCCCACGGGGTCAAGAGGGAGCACCTTGATTCCAATGCTGTGACTCCTGCAGGAAAGCCTGCATCTTAGCCCTGTACCCTGAGTGCCCCGGGTGGTGCTTTCCCCAGGGTCTCAGGATACAGTCACATTTGTTGAGCACTTACTATGCTCTAGGCACCATGCAGAGATCTGTCACATGCATGATCCCATTTAATCCTCACCGTGACTGATGAAATAGCACTTTTATTTATTTATTTATTTTGAGACAGAGTCTTGCTCTATCGCCCACGCTGGAGTGCAGTGGTGTGATCTCTGCTCATTGCAACCTCTGCCTCCTGGGTTCAAGCGATTCTCCTGCCTCAGCCTCCAGAGTAGCTGGGATCACAGGCATGCGCCACCACGCCTGGCTAATTTTTGTGTTTTTAGTAGAGACGGAGTTTCACTATGTTGGCCAGGCTGGTCTCAAACTCCTGAAATCAGGTGATCTGCCCGCCTTGGCCTCCCAAAGTGTTCGGATTACAGGCGTGAGCCACGTCCCTCGGTGAAATAGCACTATTATTATCCCAGCATTATACATGAGGAAATGGAAGCCCAGAGAAGTTAAGCATCTTTCCCCAAGTCACACAGCTAGTGCTGGGGCCAGGATTTGAACCCAGCTGTCTCATTCTGCACTCCATGCATGATTGCCAGACTGCACTGGATTCACTGATGGTGGAGCATAATGCAGTGCTCCTCAGACTTGAGTGTGCAACGGAATTAACTGCCAGGCCTGTTAAAACACTGGTTGCTGTGCCCCGTACCCTAAGAGTTCCTGCTTAGTAGGTCTGGGATGGTGCACTTCTTTTTTGAGATGGAGTCTCACTCTGTTGCCCAGGCTGGAGTGCAGTGGCACGGTGTTGGCTCACTGCAACCTCTGCCTCCTGGGTTTAAGTGATTCTCCTGCCTCAACCTCCCAAGTAGCTAGGATTTCAGGCATGCGCCACCACACCCAGTCAATTTTTTTTGTATTTTTAGTAGAGACGGGGTTTTACCATGTTGACCAGGCTGGTCTCAAACTCCCAACCTCAAATGATCTGCCCGTCTCAGCCTCCCAAAGTGGTCAGGCCTGAGCCACCGCGCCTGGCTTGGGATGGTTCACTTCTAACAAGCTCCCAGCTGATGCTAATACTCTGGTTGAGTGGGGGTGGCACTGAGAGGACCACTGGCTTAGTAGAATGAACGAGGCAGCTGGAATGTGAGCCCTCGGTTGGGGCTCCAGCTCGGCCATTTTCTAGCTCTGTGACCGTGGGCGGTTCACACTTAGAGCCTCTGTTTCCTCATCTATGAAATGGGGATAATAACAGCAACCTGCTTCGAAGGATCAGATGGAGTAACAATGTGAAAGCATGTGCCTGCTGCCTGGCGCTTGGTGAGTGGGCCTTCACATCCTCTCCTTCCTCTCTCTGCTGCCTGACGTGGTCCTGTGCAGCTGAGGGTCTTCAGCCTGGCTCTCTTACTGATTTGTGCTGTGCCCTCAGGCAAGTCTCTTTCCCATTCTGGGCTTCAGTTTCTTCATCTGTAAAATGAAGCAGTGAAACCAGATGACCTCTGAGATCCCACCCAGGTGGAAAATCCTGGGAACGCAGGAATCCAGGTGATCCTGGCTTACCCAGGATTTCCAGTGTCACAAGCAAATCCCCCCCACAGGTCCCCCTGGGGCTGGATACCTGAGGGGACTACTCCCCCTTCCCACCCCCAGGGCCATGGTGCAGTACTCCTGCCAGGAGCTGTGCCGCATCCTCTACCTGCTCATCCCGCTCCTGGAGCGAGGCGACGAGAAGCACAGGATCACGGCCACCGCCTTCTTCGTGGAGGTACCAACGGGGGCAGCGGGTACACAGCGGGAGCTCCTCCCGGGCCTCGGTTCACGTCACTGGTCATTTCTCCTATGTAAACAGTACTTTATAGTTTACAAAGCCTTCCCATGGGCATGACTTCTCTTGACTATGATGATCTTGTTGGTCTCCCTCCCTCCCCTCCCTGTCTCTCCACCCTTTACTCCATTCCACTCTTAACCAGACTCCCCTAGTGCCCAGGGAACCACCAACCTTTGCTGGGCACCTCTGTGTGTCAGGCACGAGACATATAAATGTGAATTTGACTCTACCCTGCCCTCAAGGAATTTTTGGTGTGGCAGAGGACACAGAGGACACCCCAGTTATAACAGGGGGTGATACCAGTGAGTGATTTGTACTATGATGGGGCCATCTAGGCTGTGGTGGGGAAACAAGTGACTTGAGGGAGGGAGGCATCAGGGAGGGAGGGCTTCCTGGAGGAGGTGACATCTAAGCTGAGTGTGTGTTGGGGAGGTGCTAGGGAGAGGTGAGTCAGGAGAAGTTGGTGGGGACAGACCCAGAAGAGAGAGACTTGCTAATAATAACAGCTAATATTTATTGAGCACTTAATATCTTCCAAGCATGTTCTAAGAGCTTGACACACATTGATTCATTTGGTCTCATACTAATCTTATGACGCAGATACTATTCCATGCCCCGTTTTAGAGAAAAAAAACCCTGAGGCATCAATTTAAGAAACTTTCCCAAGACCGCACAGCTTGTAAGTGGCAGATCCAGGATTCAAATAAAGACATCTGGGCTCTAAAACCCTCCCCTTTCCTTTTAGTTTTTAAAAAATTGTGGTAAAATATACGTAACATAAAATTTGCCATTTTAACCATTTTAGGTGTACAGTCCAATGACATTAATACATTCATATTGTTATGCAACCATCACCACCATTCATCTCCAGAACTTTCGTATCTTTCACTACTGAAACTCAACACCCACTAAACACAAACTCCCCGTTCCATTCCCTCAGCCCCTAGTAACCTCTATTCTACTCTCTATCTCTATGAATTTGCCTATTCTAGGTATCTTATGTAAGTGGAATCATACAATATTTGTCCTTTTGTGCCTGGCTGTTTCCCTAAACATAATGTCTTCAAGATTTATCTATGCTGTTGCATGCATCACAATTTCCTTACTTTTTTTTTTTTTTTTTTTTTTTTTTTTTTGAGATGGAGTCTTTCTCTGTTGCCCAGGTTGGAGTGCAGTGGCGTGATTTTGGCTCACTGCAAATTCCGCCTCCCAGATTCAAGCAATTCTTCTGTCTCAGCCTCCCGAGTAGCTGGGATTATAGGCAAGCACCACCATGTCCAGCTAATTTTTGTATTTTTAGTAGAGACTGGGTTTCCCCATGTTGGCCAGGCTGGTCTCGAACTCCTGACCTCAAATGATCCTCCCACCTCAGCCTCCCAAAGTGCTGGAATTACAGGTGTGAGCCACCACGCCTAGTCAAAATTTCCTTACTTTTTAAGACTGAATAATATTTCATTGCATGTACATACCACATTTTCTTTATCCATTTGTCTGTTGGCTGACATCGTAAAACCCACTCTTTTAACCACCACGCTTGCCTAGTTCTTGTGACCTGATGGTTGTCATGAGGCAGGTCTAGGCTAAACTAGGATCTGTATAGTGAGGCTCAGAGGCAAGAGGCTCATTGTCTGCTTGGATAGTGTGAAGGTTAAGGAAGGCTTCCTGGAGGAGATGACATTTAAACTGAACCTTAAAGTTTGCCAAATGAACAAGAGGCAGCATGGGCATCCTAGGTACTTTTGTCATCTTTTCTGCCACTGCAGGTGGGCTATGAGTTGGGAGAAGGGACCATGTCACATTGGTATTGCACCCCCAGGTCCAGCTTTAGGAGGGCCCCAAGAAGTGGGGATGGGATGGATGAAGGAGTGCCTGAACAAATACTGCAGGTCACCAGCAGAATGTGTCACCTCCAGGGAGAGCAAACCTGGCCTTGGGGTCGGGAGTCCTGGGTTCCAGCCCCAGCTCCATCCAGTTCTAACTCCAATTTCCCTGACCATGGTGAGGGAAAGAGAAAGGGAAACTACCATTACTTACAGGCCTACTATGTGCCAAACACTTGTATTGACCTCTTTCAAATGTTATTTCACTAATCTGCACAGCAACCCTGCGAAGAAGGAATTGTGATACTCATGCTTAGGTGAGTTAAGGGGAATTTTTTAAGGTCACAGAGCTCAGAGAGTCCAGAGAGATTCAGAACAGGCCTGCCTGACACGGTCCTCTACTTTGGTCAGCCTCTTGGAGAGGCACTTCTAAGTCTGTTAGTGTCTACCACATGGGTTCTTGCAGGAGAGGAGGGAGGGTGGATCTTGCCAGACCTTATGGGGCATTCCTGTGTCCACCACAAAGTCAGGGACTCTAGGTTTAACTTCTCCCCACCATTCCCTGGACTCCTGACCAGCAGCCCTTCCGCCCTGCAGCAAGGGTCTTGGCCCAGGTTCAGTCTTTTCCACCTCCCCAGAAGAGGTGTCTGCTCCTGGCCAGTCAGCCCCACCATTAAAGCCGTGGCACTTTGATGCAGCTCAGATGCCCCTTTCACCCTCGTCCCCTCCGCCCCGGCTTCCTGTCGCCCTCTCTGCTGTGATGGTGTGTGTGCTTGCTTCTCCCAGTGGAAGGTGAACTCCTTAAGGGAGCTGTGCCATCTTGGACAAGTCACTTAACCTGCCTGTGCCTCTGTTTCCTCACCTGTAGTATGGGGATGATGACTTGACCACCTCCTAGAGTGGTCAGGTTTACATAAAGCACTTAGAACAGTGCCTGGCACATAGGAAGTGCTCTCTGTGAGTCAGTTAAATTGCTTTTAGGGTTCTCATGACTCTTTTCCGTGTCTCCAGTGCCCAGCCCAGAAGCTGTGCACAGCAGGCCTGAATATTGGTGGTGTGAATTGGTGGATGGCGGGTGATAGGTGGAGCCCCTCCTTTTCTGCCTCCTCCCCCGGTGACCTGTCCTGCCCCCTCCTCCAGCTCTGCCTCCCCAGCTCTTTCCTCCCACAATACAGACACACGGGCTCAACAGTCACAGGAGATGTCAGGCAAGGGCATGGAGGGGAGAAGCGTTTGTGAGAGTCATGCAGCAGGCATCGAAGTCCTGTTGGCTGCCGTGGGTGGGGAGGCCAGTGGGGGAGAGGAGGGGGATAAGGGTGAGGCTGGTGTGCAGCTTGGACGATGGGGGGCTGGTAGTGCTAACCCTGCCACAGGGAGTGCAAGAGGAGGGCATGCCTAAGGAGGAAAGGAGCCAAGTTTCTTTCTTTTTTTTTTTTTTGGACGGCGTTTCATTCTTGTCTCCCAGGCTGGAGTGCAATGGCGCCATCTTGGCTCACTGCAACCTCCCCCTCCCAGGTTCAAGTGATTCTGATGCCTCATCCTCCTGAGTGGCTGGGATTACAGGCACCTGCCACCATGCCCAGCTAATTTTTGTATTTTTAGTAGAGATGGGGTTTCCCCATGTTGGCCAGGCTAGTCTCAAACTCCTGACCTCAGGTGATTTATCCACCTCAGTCTCTCAAAGTGCTGAGATTATAGGTGTGAGCCACCTTGCCTGGCCTTTTCTTTCTTTCTTTCTTTCTTTCTTTCTTTCTTTCTTTCTTTCTTTCTTTCTTTCTTTCTTTCTTTTCTTTCTTTCTTTCTTTCTTTCTTTCTCTTTCTTTCTTTCTTTCTCTCCCTCTCTTTCTTTCTCCTTTCTTCCTTCTTTCCCCTTTCCTTCCTTCCTTCCTCCCTCCTTCCCTCCCTCCTTCTCTCTCTTTATTTCTTTCTTTATTTCCTTCTCTTTTCAAGGTGGAGTCTTGCTCTTGTCACCCAGGCTAGAGTGCAGTGGTGTGATCTTGGCTCACTGCAACCTCCACACCCTAGATTCAAGCGATTCTCCTGCCTCAGCTTCCCGAGTAGCTGGGGCGTGTGCCACCGTGCCCGGCTAATTTTTTGTATTTTTAGTAGAGATGGGGGTTTCACCATGTTGCCCAGGCTGGTCTTGAACTCCATACCTCAGGTGACCCACCCACCTTGGCCTCCTGAGTAGCTGGGATTACAGGCATGAGCCACCGTGCCCGGCCCAAGCCAAGATTCATGTTGGACCTGAACTCATGCAGCAAGCAGTCCCTGAGCACATATTCCGCACCAGAGTTGATGTTAGCTAACAGGGGCCCATGGAGGAACAACTCGGGTTTTGTCCTCAGGGAAATCCCCTGTTGGATAGGGGAGGCAGATGGAGGCACTGAAGGTTTCCAGCTGTCGCCTCAGGAGGAAGTCCAGGGCACCCAAGGGCCCAGGGAAGGAGGCAGTCAGCCTAAATGAGGCCAGGGGCAGTGTCAAGCCTAGCTTTAAGGCTCTGAGTTTTGGATGGAGCCCTGCGAGGTGGCAGGGGTCAGAGTGGAGGTGGGCATCCCAGGAGAAGGGCATTTTGCCAGCACAGAAGGGGTGGAACAGCCTGGGTAGTTCAGAGAACAGGAGACAGCTTGGTTGGAAGCTGGCTGGCTGGTGGTGAGGGTGTGGGCTGGAGGGTGGGCACGCTGCTGTTAATGAGGCCACAGGATCTCATGGGAAAGGCAACAACAAGCAGTCACAGGGGCTCGGAGCTGGAGAGTGACACACTCAGCTTTGCCACATGGTGCTGATGGACATCAGACGGAGACTTCCAGCAATCTGTTGGTTTTGCAAGTCTGAAGCTCCGGGCAGAGCTGAGCCTGGTATCCAATGTGCAATCCCAGTGCATGGGAGGCCAGGGGGCTGCCCTGCCCCCCTCAGCCTGGGAAGTAATGACCCTTTGCTCCCTCAGCTCCTCCAGATGGAGCAGGTGCGCCGGATCCCCGAGGAATACTCTCTGGGGCGGATGGCAGAAGGCCTGAGCCACCACGACCCCATCATGAAGGTGCTGTCCATTCGAGGCCTGGTCATCCTGGCCCGCAGGTCTGAGAAGGTGAGTGGGAGGCAGAGGAAAGCCTGGCCCAGCCAGGCCCCAGACTGGAGGAAGGACAGAGCTTCACCATTATAGTACCTCAGAAGCCCACAGCTGGAATGAGACATCATTTCTATCTTAGCCTCAGTTGTCCCATCTGTAAAATAGATATCCTTTAAAAATCTATATATTTTATTCCTTTTGAATAGTTTCTAATCTAGGTTTTTCACAATGATTCTAAAGGCAGTGTGTATAGGAAGGGCAAAGGGTGGCACAAGTATTCCTATTTTACAGATAAGGAAACAGAGCCCAGATTGTTGCTGCATCATTAGCATTTTTTAAAGTGCTTTGTTTTTCTCTACCAGGCACTGTTGCAGCTCATGATGTAGCTGCTATGAAAGGACAGGACATAGACTCAGAAAGCTAACTAACAACACAGCGTGTCATCTACCTAGAGCCAAGGAAGGGGGTAGACAGCAAAGGGCCTCAGGGGTCCTGGCCAACGAGTCAGTGAGGCCAAAGAAGGCTTTGAGGAGCAGCAAGAGGTTGGGTGAGGGTATTCCAGGCAGGTGGGATGGCATAGGCCAAGGCCTGGAAGTGGGGATTGGGCCACCAAGTTCATTTCAGTGAATCAGAGGCTGGGTCTCTTCCTACTTGCTAGCTCAGATAGGAGCCCTCATCCCAAATGCTCCTGCCCCACAGACCGCCAAGGTGAAGGCCCTCCTGCCCTCCATGGTGAAGGGCCTGAAGAACATGGATGGGATGCTGGTGGTGGAAGCGGTCCACAACCTCAAGGCTGTCTTCAAGGGGCGGGACCAGAAGCTGATGGACAGTGCGGTCTATGTGGAGATGCTGCAGATCCTGCTGCCGCACTTCAGCGACGTGAGGACCTCACAGAGCGAAGGAGCAGGAGGGATCGAGAAGGGGGTCTTTTACTACCTTGGGGGCTGCATTTCCACCTGTGCCCCCATCAGGACCTGGGCAGTGTTGGGTCAGCCTACTGGGAGAGGAACTTTGTCCCAGCTGGTCCACATCTTTTTGTAAATGTTCCTTATTCTAACTGGTTCTGACAGAGGAAGCTCTTCTTTCACAATCGAGTCTCCCCAGAAAGGGTCATCTATTGTGACTGGTTCATCTAGAGGGGGTACTTTCTTTTTAAAGGCAGGATCTTGCTCTGGCACCCAGGCTGGAGTGCAGTGGCAAGATCTCAGCTCGACCTTCCTGGCTCAAGCAGTTCTCCCACCTCAGCCTCCTGATAGCTGGGACTATGGGCATGCACCACTATGCCCAGCTAATTTTGCATTTTTTGTAGAGATGGGGTTTCCCTATGTTGCCCAGGCTGGTCTTGAACTCCTGGGACTCACGTGATCCACCCCCACCTCAGCCTCCCAAAGTGCTGGGATTACAGGCATGAGCCACAGCACCTGGCCAGTTTTTTTTTTTTCTTTAAACTGCTCCTAGCAGAGGAGGAGAGGGAGGCATTTTCCTACTTAGCACTCAGGTGCCTTTTAGGTTAGTGGGGGTCTGGCTGGGAAGAGTCGGGAGAGTTCCAGACCTAGGCTTGAGTGAGAGGAACAATGGCTCTGAATCAGCCGCAGTGAGTGGCGTCCCAGAGGAGGGACCCCCTCTGAGCCTTTGGTCTTCCCCAGGCACGAGAGGTCGTGCGCTCCTCCTGCATCAACCTGTATGGGAAGGTGGTCCAGAAGCTTCGGGCACCACGCACTCAGGCCATGGAGGAGCAGCTGGTCAGCACCTTGGTGCCCCTACTGCTGACCATGCAGGAGGGCAACTCCAAGGTAAGCCAGGTGAGTGTGCGTGGGCCCTGCACCCTCTACCCCTCCCTCGGGTCCTGTGGGCGCACCTCTTTTTACGTTAACCAAGCCAGAGTCTCAAACAATCCTGGGGGCAGTTATGTATGTCCAGCCATGTCTGTTTTCTAAAGGTGCCCACATCAGGATTCTTCCTCAACACGGCCAGCTTCTGGTCATAGCTGATGTATAAAAAAAGAAAAAGGTCCTAAATCATGGGCAAAATAAAAATAAAATAATAGTAATTAAAAAAATTAAAAATGGTCAGCTTCACTTGTACAATTTCAAATAGAAACTGAGTTTTCAAAATCCCTTTTTCTGGACCATAGTCTGGCTGTCCACAGTTCTGATATTTTCTTCCTATTGGTTCCCAGAAGTGTGTGAAGACCCTGTTACGCTGTTCTTACTTCATGGCTTGGGAGTTGCCAAAAAGAGCTTATAGCCGGAAGCCCTGGGACAACCAACAGCAGACAGTGGCCAAAATTTGCAAGTGCCTTGTGAGTGCTCCCAGAGAGTAGAGTGGTTCCTTACAAGCATGTTGGAGGTGGCGAATTCTGTGTCTCTCTCTTCCTTCTTTTCCCACCAGCATCCTATTTCCATGACCAACTACAAGTTGTTGGTTCTGGAACGTTCCTCTCCACCTCTGGCTTCTCTCCTGACTTCTAGTGTGTTCTCTGTTCAGTGGCTTCCTGCATACCTCCCACGATGATCACGGGCACTTCAAGCTCAGCTTGTCTCTTTTGAGCCTGTGCCTTTTCCTTTCAATTCCTCCTTTTCCCTCTAGAGCCCCCAAGCAGAAACCTAGAATCCTCTTGGGCTCCTTCATCTCCCTCACCCTCCACATTTGATCAATCTTAAATATCCCGAGTATCTTGGAATCTGCTTTTCCCTCCCCACCCTGCTGCCATCGTTGCCCTTAATTCAGGGCACCGACACCCCTCAGTTAGGCTATTGGCCCAGCCACCCAAGGGGTCTCCCAGCCTTTAACTCCATCCCCTCCAATCCATTTCCCACCCAGGCCACCAGAATGGTCTTGTTAAAACACAGCCTGCTTGTATTAGATCCCTGCCTCAAGGGCCACACTGGCTCCTTTTCTACAACATCAATTCCCAGAGTTGTATTACCTGCAACACCAGTCTCACAAAATATGCCCCAGAGGGAGGAAAAGAAGTTTGAAGACAAGTAAGTTTGGGAAATACTGCACTGACATTCTCCTCTTGGAGATTTGCAATGACATCAGGATACTAAAGGCTCTGAGATGTTTTGTGCTGAGGAAATGTGTTCATGGTTCTTCATATAATAGTTTCCCAAACTTATTTAACCACAGAGCTTCCTTTCTCGGTGATACCTGTGAACATCATGAGGTAGGAGCAAGCCGCGTGCATGTGCGCGCGCGCATACACACACACACACAAGCACAACTCTGCAGGATACAGCCTAGTCCTCCATATGTCATTTGGGAGGATTTGCCCGCGGTCTCAATCTACCTTCCCTGTTGTTGTGGGCAGCAGTGAGCATATGAGGGAGTGCCCCTGGGACCAATACCCATGGAAGGGAGCGGAAGAAACAGGAATAACAAAGGGAGAAGTCAAGTTACAATGTAGCTTCAGCACAGGCCTCAGCCAACACTGCCACGAGATTCCCAAATTTGGCCTGGGGGTCAGGTCTGTACACTCCTGTGTTCATCTGTCACTGGATGCCAGTCACCCTGGGAAGGGCTTGACCTTGGGCCAGGCAGTTCTCAGCCCAGGCAATGCCCAGAGTTGGGGGAATTAATCCCTCCCGTGTGAAGGGACATCTGAGTGGGGAGTCCATCACTCCCCACACCAATCTAACATAAATATACAAAGCCACAAATTGTTACTGGACTGAGAAAAGCTCTTTGGCCACCACCATTATCAGTAATGCTCAAAGCCTCTGCAATTGAGGGTCTCATGATATTACCATCACATTCCAGTGGGAAATAGAGGTCTGGAGGAAGTGCTTGGCCAGGGTCACTAATTCAAATGCTCACAGTGGCCAGTGACCAGGCAGATAATCATGAGTGGTGTGGAAGTGGTGGTCCCTGAGCACCCTGGAGAGCCCAGACCCCGTTGAAGGTAGGGGTGAAGAGCTCAAGCTCACCGTGCAGGCCCTTCTCTTGCCAGGTCCTCTGGTTTCATGAGAAAAGCTAGAAACCTATTTTTTTTTTTTTTTTTTTTTTGAGACAGAGTCTCACTCTGTCACTCAGGCTGGAGTGCAGTGAGTGGTGCGATCTCGGCTCACTGCAACCTCCACCTTAGGGGGTTCAAGAGATTCTCCTGCATCGGCCTCCCAAGTAGCTGGAATTATAGGCATGCACCTCCACACCCAGCTATTTTTTTTTTGTATTTATAGTAGAGATGGGGTTTCACCATGTTGGCCAGACTGGTGGTCTCGAACTCCTGACCTCAGGTGATCTGCCTGCCTCTGCCTCCCAAAGTGCTGGGATTACAGGCGTGAACCACTATGCCTGGTCAGAAACCCTACATTTTTATAGGACATGAATTAGCATTCAATGTAGCTCTTTTTTTTTTTTTTTTTTTTTTTGAGATGGAGTTTCACTCTTGTTCCCCAGGCTGGAGTGCAATGGTGTGATCTCCGCTCATCGCAACCCTCGCCTCCCAGGTTCAAGTGATTCTCCTGCCTCAACCTCCTGCGTAGCTGGGATTACAGGCATATGCCACCACACCTGGCTAATTTTGTATTTTTAGTAGAGACGGAGTTTCTCCATGTTGGTCAGACTGGTCTTGAACTCCTGACCTCAGGTGATCTGCCGCCTCAGCCTCCCAAAATGCTGGGATTACAGGTGTGAGCCACTGCACCCGGCTGAATGTAGCATGTTTTAAACACTGTGCTTGTCATTGCTCTGCAGGCTACTGAGGCCCGTGGCTGCCAGCTTGTGACCTCTACATTAGACCCCTCTGGGTCCTCAGTTTCTTCTTTGCTCTTCAGGCCATCAAGAGCTTTGCTCATTTAAAGGTCAACCTCCAGGCTTAGCTTTAAGAAGGGGCTGGTAACCTATTCATTCATTTGTTCATTCATTCATCTGACACTTTTGGGGCACCTGCTGCAAGCCAGTCC